>NC_000012.12:28306211-28458906 GCF_000001405.40 Homo sapiens
TATAAGGTTTATTCATTCAAATATTTTTTAAAGCAAGAATTTATGCTAGCTGCTGAAGGTAGTCCCAATTTCTAAAGTGCTGTACACAATTTTGAGTCACCTGTTAATTTTGCGAGACAGTGGTGATCAATAGAGGTCATTGATAAATTTCAGAGTTTGATTTACAGTTTAAAATATAAACAAATTCTAGGTCTGTGTGTAAATTTAAGAACTGTTAACAACCAGATATGTCTATCCTTATTCATACATTTTCAAGCACAGGAAAAAGTTAAGTCTTTTAGTGCATTGGTAGCAAAATAATGAATACTTTAGATTTCAAAATTAAGAGGAAATTTTGTTTCTTACAGCAAAGATCGGGTTGTTGTAAAAGTTTGAGGTCTTCTCTTGATTTACTTAAAGGGTGAAATAATTTCGGAACCTTTTCAACAACTTAATTTCCAAATGTGGTTTCTAGTGCCCTTTGGATGTTTTCATTATTGGTATAGTGTAAACTTTCCTCTCTTGTGTATTTTTTTTTTTATGTGGTTTAGATTCAGCAATCAACACACACTCATCTGGATATCTCACTTTTTCCATTGGGTTTAACTGATGAAAAAAGTAATGGAACAATTGCCCTTGTGGATGATTCTGAGGATCCTGGAGCCAATGTATCTAACATACAGCTTCAGCAAAAAATTTCAAGTCTGGAGATTAAACTCAAAGTATCTGAAGAAGAAAAACAGAGAATTAAACAGGTATATTTACATTTGCCTAAGAAATGTTTGAATTGCAAATATTAGAAATTTGATATAATCTCAAACTCTGATTAAAAACTCATCAGAGGAAGAAGATACTTTTCTCCCTTGGTTGTAGGTTTAAAGCAGTCATGAGCTTATCACTTAGAAAAGCCTTTGATAAGAAATATATTTTACATATGTACTTTTAAAGATATGAACATCGTTTACTAGGTTTTTTCTAACTATTGCTTTCTTTTTTGGTTTATTTTTATTTACTTTGAAAGCAGGTAGTATTGTGTTTCTTATGAGGAGGTGAAATTTTGCGACATCAACTTTTCCCTATGGGAAGTTAGGCATCACAGGATATTTGACAAGAGTACTTAGGTATACAGCCATTTTAGTAAATTCTTTACTTATGCTTTCTTCCCTGTGAATATATAGCAAATTTATAGAAAGTGTATGTAGAGGTAGATTATGTTGATGAAATTAGTTGAGATGCTCATATTCATTTGTTGGAATGAGTAAATGTTGTGTCCATGTTTGATATTGGCCTAGAAATTAGAGTGAAGCATATAATTTATAATATTGTTAGATTTTAAGCCGTACTTCCCATGGATTCTTTCTCTGACAAATGTTTTCTGACATGTTCATTGAAAAAACTAATTATATTTTATGCCATTAAATATTACAAAGCTTGTATTTGTATTTTTATTTTAGGATGTGGAATCATTGATGGAAAAGCATAATGTCTTAGAAAAAGGCTTTCTAAAAGAAAAAGAGCAAGAGGCCATTTCTTTTCAAGATAGATACAAAGAACTTCAGGTAAGGCGATTGAACTTAAGATTTAAAATGTAAGCCTTTTGATGAAGCATGTGCTATAATTTCAAAAAGTGCATAATGAATATCTTATGAATGAAGAATCAGATACTTGCTTAAATATATAAAACTGACCAACATGGGCTAAATTAATGGGAAGACACCCATTTTGAAAAATATGAGTCTGTGAGCAGCCCTGAGGATTAGTAGTTTGAGGCCCAAACAATTTGGTAAGAAATATTCTGTTTCTGATGGATACATTTTGGGAACTGTTTATTCTAATTTTTGTTATAATAATTACATTTGAATTACATTTAGAATCCTGTAATCCAGAACTGAGACACTTAACTTTTTTAAATAAATTGTCTCCTTTTCTCCTTCCTAAATTTTCTTATTTATTTCTTCTACAGTCTAACCTAACACAGTAAATGGCAACTCCATCTTTCTAATTGCTAAGACTAAAACTAACTCATTCCTTTTTGTACTTACTCAATGTCTGTTTCTTTAGCAGGATTTGTTGGCTGTACCTTCAGAATATCCAGGTTTCAACCATTTATCATCATGGTCAGCGCTATTAACATATTGTATATTATCATTATTTCTCCCTTGGATTACTAAAGTATATTCTAACTAGTCTTTTGTTTTTGTCACTGCCCACGTGCAGACCATTCCCCCCATTGCAGCCACTGTGATCTGATTGAAACTTAAAGCTAGTCATGTCATTATTCTGTTCTAAAACCTTCGTGGGCTTCTTATCTTTCCCACACTAAAAGCCAGGTCCTTAAACTGGTTTTCAAGGCTCTGTGTTCCCTTATGTCCCTTCTTCCTCTCTTTTCCTTGCCTCTTTTTCCTCAGTCATTTTTCTTTTTCCTAATGTCCAGAGTGCTCAGATTCCCTCAGATACCTGCATGGTTTTCTTCATAGCCTTCAAGTCTCTGTTCAAGTATTACCTTATCAGATAAGCCTTTCCAGACAATGCTGACATCCTCTCCATCCACCTTATCATAGTCTGCTTTATTTTTATTCCTAGCACCTTTTACATTTGACAAATTATATATTTACTTGTTTATTTGCCTGGATCACTGTAATAGTCTCCTAAGTGGTCTTCTGGCTTCCATCCTTGTTCTTTTCCTTCATGAGTTTTTAATTCAGCAGGTAAGAGTAGTGTTTTAAAAATGTAAATCAAATCAGATCCCAGACTCAATTCCTATTTTCATTCCAATATACATTTTCAAGCTTCTCCAGTTTACCCTCAGGTATTTATTTACACCAAGCTTTATAATAAGGTATAGGTGAATGTGTGAGTATGCGTGGGGAAGGACATTCTTTGCCTGTTGGAGGGGTATGGTCCATGATTCACTCACATATCTCTGCCTGGAATGCTGTTCCTCCTGTAGATAAGTTTCTTAAAAATACAAAACTTGGAAATAAGAAAAACGCAGGCAGTGTGTCTTTTCAGTGCCTGTGATGACATTGTTTAATGTGCCCACCTCAGGAGTACTTAGGAGAAAGTACTTTATTTGACTCACTGTTTATTCTTGAATAAAAGTCTCAGATGTAGTGAAGTTACATGTTAATTTATAGATTTTTTCCCCTGAAGAGATGCGAATAATTCTGTCTGTTAGAAAAGATAACTTCTAAGAATATAATTAATTGCCCTGTAGGATATTAACAAGTTTTATCTCTAACCTAGTGCTTTTAGTCCAACACTCCATGTTGTTAAATTTCCTATCTAAATCCTGTTCTTCACATGCTGCTTAAACCAGTCTTAGCATCTTATTCATTCGGTCTTATAGGATATTAACCAGTTTCGTCTCTAACCTATTGCTCCTAGTTAACACTCCATTGTTAAATTTCCTATATAAATCCTGTTCTTCAAATGCTTCTTGAACCAGTCTTAATATTCATTCAGTCTTAAGATAAATGATTAATTCATTAGTAAATGAACAGAATAAATCTTTGGTATATCTTCAATTGGTATTTACATGAGTCAGATTAACTTTTTGAAAATTATACTTTTAACAGCTCTCGCTGAACTCTAGCTTCCTTCTGATATTTGCTCAAATGCTACTCTTGTGGAGGCTTTTCTTAATCGTGCTGTATAAAATAAGGCCCTTTGTACTTGCTCAGCATCCCCTAGCCCTTTTTATTTTTTTCTTTTCCATACCGCTTATTCCTACCTGTTATTTTATTTTGATTTGTTTATTTTCTGTCTTTTCTCCACTACAGTGTAAATTCCTTGAGATTAAGGAGTTTTCCTTCCCAGTAGTACTTGGCATATAGTGCATGTTCAATGAATACTGTTGGATGAATTGAATAGATGAACTAATATCATGCACCCTGCTCCCCAAGGACTAATTACAT
Source organism: Homo sapiens (assembly GCF_000001405.40). Lineage (NCBI taxonomy): Eukaryota > Metazoa > Chordata > Mammalia > Primates > Hominidae > Homo > Homo sapiens. Next base: position 28,310,108 of record NC_000012.12, read on the forward strand.
TGTGTATAGCCACACTTACTGACCTCATCCTTGGAACTATGGTGCTGATTAAAAGGCATAGTACTGAATAATGAGATAACTTTGTGTTTCTTTGTCTCCACTGAATGACTTATTCTGGACCCTTTAGTGAGACATACATCTTTGAGAGTTCAGTTTTTCCATCTATAAATGGGAACAGTAACATATCAGAGAGACTACGTGAGACTTAACGTATATCACTTTGGGTTGTTTTTACATTAATGACCAATATAAATGCTATCTGGCATTATCATTGTTGTCTCACTGCGTTTACTATTAATAGTGATAATCTAGGAGTGATGACTTGAGTCTTCAAAGCTAGTTCCTTTTGTAGGAATCAGTACTTTCAAAGAAAACTTTTTTCAGATGACTTCATTTTAGGACCTATAGGCTTCTCTCTCCTTTTTATAGCATGGGAATAAAAGAGTAACTTACGGAGTGTTAAACACCTTGGCTAAATAAATTATAGAAAAATGTACCAGGAGGTCTCATAGCCAAATCGAAGTTAAAGTAGGCATACTGTTCAGTTTGTATGTCACCATACCATCTCTGAGGAAAGCATTTCTATCCTCAGTCCCTTCCATTCATTTGATGTGCCAATTCTTTGTTTTTTATTTGGTTATTGTATATTTCAGTTCTAAAATTTCCATTTGGTTCTCCTTCATATCTTCCATTCTGTGCTTAAACTTTCTATTCTGTTTGTTTCAAGCATGTTTCATAATTCCCTGCCGAAGCATTTTTATTATGGTTGCTTTAAAATCCTTGTTAGAAAAATGTCATCTCAGTGTTACTATTGATAGTATTTTCTTACCCAAGTTGAGATTTTTCTGATTCTTAGTATGATGAGTGCATTTTAATTTTATCCTGCATATTTTGGGTATTTTGTATGATACCTTGGATCTTATTTAAATCTTGTATTTTAGCAGGCCTCATCTGATACTGTATAGTTTGGGAAAAGATTAACCATTTTGTTAATGTCAGGTGCAAGTAAAATGACAAGTTTTCCACTCAGCCCCCTTTGACACCCTGGGTAGGAGGGATACTGCCTTACTCCTGAGATAAGGTGGGATTTCAGGGCTCCCACAGGCCTTAGCAGATACATCCCTGGCTGGGAGCAGGAGAGGCACCTTATTACTGTTCCACGGGTGCCTTACTGTGAGATTAGGTGAGATCTTCTTACCTCTGGATAGTTATAAAAGTTCTGGCTTCCCACTCAGCTTCCTCTGACACAGGAAAGGAGGGAGAGAGAGTCTTTTTCCTTTTGGATGGGGATAGAAGTCCTAAAACTGTCTTCACAACCACTTGGTTTTCTCTGATACCACATCGAGGTCATCTATGGGCACTGCATTGTTGCTGGGGCGAGAGTGGAAATCTAGGCTCAGTACTCGGCCTTTTGTGACAGAGGTGGTTTAAAAATAAAGGCGAAACTTGGAAATAAGGAAAAAGGTGAGCAGTGTGTCTTTTCAGTGTCCTATAGGGACATTGTTCAATAGGCCTACACTATGACTATTTAGAAGAAAGTATTTTGTTTGAGTCATTGTTTACTGTTGATTAAAAGTTTCAAAGTTAGGGCCATGCGTGTTTTTTTTTAAATTTTTTTTCCATGGTATTTGGTTGGTGTAGGATGTTTATTGTCTAAAAGTTTTCTGTCTTGCTAGATTGTGCCTTTCATGGATGGCCCTTTTGTTACAGAGGATTGACTTTTATTGGGGCTTTTGTGCCTGTTGGTGTTTCCTGGTTGCTGGCTATTCCACTCCCCAGTTTGGGATATATGAGGCTAAAAGAAAACTCACAGAACTCACTGCTTTGTCATTCCTTGGATTCCCAGGTCCCTAGTTAGTCTGCCTTCCCTCTGCATTCCAGAATCCTCTTAAATTTGTTTTAATAAAATGTCCAAACTTTTTAGCTCTATTTATTGATAGAAATAGGGAGAAGTGTGTCTTTTTAATTTTAATCTGGAAGTGGGATAGAAAGCAACCTTTTAAATTTTAGTTATTCTTTGTTGTAGCTACATCAGGAAATTGATATCAAAGTTAAAATACATTAATTTGAAACAGGTAACTTTGAGTCGGTTTTTTTTGGAGGTGGGGAAACAGGTTAATGAGCTCCCATGGAGTCATTCTAGATAGAGGAAGGATGCATAAAAATATATGGATAATTCGAAATGGGAGATAATACATAAATCTCTATATCTGCTTTATATTTACTAAGTTTGTGCATATTTATGTGTATGTGTTAGATATTCTGAAAGTGTATTTTCAACAAAAATATTTACATTGTACTGTAAATACCTGATTCAGGAAGAATTTAGAAATCTTAGGCTTCCGTATTTGACCTTTCTGCAATCCAGTTCTTTCTGAGGGTTATGGACTTCTTTCAAACTAACACAAAGTCGTTTCTACCTAATAATTTCTTAGGAATAAGAGATGTGATTAAATTTGTGAGTGTCAAAGGAGGCTACTGTATGTTAAATATGTATAGGATGAAATATTAGCAAAGTAAGTTTTTAAATAGTGATATGGTTTGGCTGTGTCCCCACTCAAATCTTATCTTGAATTGTAGTTTTCATAATTCCCACATGTTGTGGGAGGGACCTGGTGGCAGATAATTGAATCATGGGGATGTGTCTTTCTTGTGCTATTCTTGTGATAGTAAATGTCTCACGAGATCTGATGGTTTTATAAAGGGAAGTTTCCCTGTGCAAGTTCTCTTCTCTTGTCTGCTGCCATGTGAGACGTGCCTTTCACTTTCCGTCATGATTGTCAGGCCTCCTCAGCCAAGTGGAACTGTGAATCCATTAAACCTCTTTCTTTTATAAGTTGCCTAGTCTCGGGTATGTCTTTATCAGCAGTGTGAAAACGGACTAATACAAACAGTGAATATATATTAAATTTCTTGTTTGGATTTATGGTCTGCCAGTCATCCTTTAGATAATTGAATCTTATTTATGACATATTTTCTGTAGAATATGGCAATTTTTTAATATCAAGGTATCTAACATACAGGTCTTTTAAATGTCTGTGAAGCTTAATGAAATGAAAAGAGTTATTTATGATGACAGGAACAATATACTGGTGCCTGCATCTCTGTGGTATCCTAAATAAAGCAAAACATTTAGGAGTCCAGTAAGATATTGCTAGATTAAATTAGCTGAGAAGTTCTTTCTCCTTAAGAAATGTTAGTATGTGTATGTATTTATAAAAATAGTATGTGTAGTCTGGAAAATGTGGACAATATAGAAAAAGGAAAACAAAATTTATAGCTATTTCTCACCATGAAAATTCTAAATATTTTCACCTGATTTCAGAATACTGGGCTCTGAGTTTTCAGTTTTGGAAAATCTACTCCTCTACTTAGGCCAGGTTTTGGATGTATCTGTCAGAATTTTTGTCTGACAAGAGAAAGAGTAATTAATAAATGGAATGTTTGTAAAACCTTTAAACAAACTTTTAAAAAACAACATTAATGATTACAGATAATTCTAACAGTGTTATTTTATGTGATATGGTCTAATTACCAGGATAGGTGGAGAGGCGTGAATGTGCCATAACAAAAGGAAATAAATACTGTGAACTCTATAGTACAATGGGGGTGTGTGCTATGTCCCCTTTTCCTGTTCTGTCCAGGGTGTGTAGCCTAACCAGAGGAAGAAAAGTGAGTCATGCTGCATTTATCAGAAATAGCTATTTAAAGGACTTTCACAAAACTTGAATAGAGAACTCCTCATTTTAGTACAACTTGGATTCCAGTCCCTTTTGTCTCCTTTCTTTGACTCCTGTAACAAGTGGGTCAACACCTGTGACAAGCACTCAGGAAACTTGGCAGCTCATCAGATAGCACATGTCCTCATGCTGCCACATTTCTAAAAATTCAGTTACCAGACACAGCTGGTTATAAAATTATTATCTTTGATAGTCGTCAGTATTGGTATCTATGGCTAACTTTGGGAATTTTTTGTGTAAACTTTTTAAAGACTGGACTTAATTCTTTCACATTCCATTTTCTATTGCAGTGCCTCGTGGCTACAGCAGCTTGATTATTTGGCTTGAAAATTTAATTAAAAAAAAAACAACTAGTACTGTTTTATGAAAATAAAGTGTTTCAGAGGACCTTAAATTTACCTATAAATGGATTTATACAGCCCCAGACTACTACTTACATTCTGTTGCTGATTTCACAGATTGTATTATTTAAGTACCAGTAGATATTAATCTAAATTTTTTCATGTACTCTTTAAAAATAAGTACTAATCAGGTGTTGGACATTGGGCGCTTGGCAAGAGGCTACTATAATAATTGTGCTTTATAAAGTTGGTTAAGGGGTAGATTAGATCAGTTGCTTGACTACCCAGAATAGTTAACTTGATAATCTGGTATGTAGAGAATTTAGCAGTTATGTGTAGGTAACCCAAAATATAGTTTGCGGTCTTATGTAGGATTGGAAAATGCTGAAGGAAATATTAGTACACATTAAGCATCACTTGAAGACATTCTGTTCATTTACATATTTTTTGGCATGACTAAACACTCTGAAGATGTATCTTTGTCAGAATTGTAGTCTGACAAGAGAAAGAGTAATTAATAAATGGAATGTGTGTAAAAAATGAAACAATAAGGATTTTATATTTTAGTTGGTCTTACATGCATTTCTTTTAGTAGTATATTTTAGATTAGATTTGATGTTGGGAAATGTATGTATTTCTGTTGTTAGGAATCCCATCCTCTTCATAGGCCTTATAAAATGAGAGTCACTGTGAGAGATCAATCATTGTGAGATATGGTCAAGTATTTTCTTTCTTATTTCAAAGCTAATTGAATGATTGAATTATTCAATCCATAGGTTAAATACTAAAATTTGGAAGACCTCTTTGTCAAACTGTATTAGAATAATAAACATTGCCATAATAAGCATTTACATTCATTAAAACATGTCTATATAGTGTAGAAAAGTTTATTCAAACCAAACAGGTAGAATTATTTATATAGAAAGAACAACATGTTAAGGGTATTTTACTTAATGTGTCAGTTGTATATATATATATATATATTTTTGTTTTTGAGAAGGAGTTTCGCTCTTGTTGCCTAGGCTGGAATCAGTGGCATGATCTTGGCTCACTGCAACTTCCACCTCCCTGGGTTCAAGCGATTCTTGTGCCTCAGCCTCTGAAGCAGCTGGAATTACAGGCATGTACCACCACACCCGGCTAATTTTTGTATTTTTAGTAGAGATGCGGTCTCACCATGTTCACCAGGCTGGCTTTGAACTCCTGACCTCAGGTGATCTGCCCACCTTGGCCTTCTAAAATGCTGGGATTACAGGCATGAGCACCATACCTGACCTTGTATATTCTTAAAAATAAGACTTTCAGGTCCAAGCAATGAACTTGAAAATTTTGCTTTATACAGTAGTTTTCATGAATTTCTGCATTTCATCTGTTTTGCTTCACTTATTTGACTTCCTTAAATTTTAGAACAATAATCTTCAATCCAGGATCACATTATACTTTCCAGGAAAGTTTCAAAAAATGCTAAATTAGTGGCTGACACCAGTTAATTAATGTGTTCAAGTGATTCAAACATCAAAAACTGCATATAGTAAATAAAGATATATAGTGAAAAGTCTACACCTCATCCTCTGCTACATCCACCTAGTTCTTTTGTGCCCTCAACAGGTAATTCCTGTTTTTTTTTTTTAATCCTTGTAGAATATTTTATAATGCAAACCAAGGCCAATGATAAATATACATATATCTCCTTCCTTCTGTCTCATTTAGATAATAGTGTACTAAATATTTATTTAGTTAAGATTATTTCTTGGAGGCCTTTTCATAGTGACTCATATAGAAATTCCTATTCTTTCTATGAACATCTGAAATACATTATTTTCTTCTATCATAAAACATTGCTGTCAAAGTCTAATAGCAATCTAATTCTTTTTCCAGTTTCTTGTTATATCCTGCTTTTGGTGATTTTTGGTTGATTCCTCTAGGTTTACAATATGTCTTTCTAATATATGTAGTTTCAATTTCTTACTTTACAGTTTTAAGAAGTTATTACATTATAAATTTAATGTTTGTTTTATTCTCTGACTGTGTCTTCCTTATGGTGACTCCTGTTATTTGTATGTTGGATAGTCTTTGCCTTCTACATTTGTCTTTACTTGACTCCTTTTTATTGCTTCATTTCTTTTTGATCTAAAATTTGCTCCCCCTTTTATTCTTTAGTTTAAATAATCATTTCTGAAATGATTTATTCTGTCATAATTCTTTTCTAAAATCTCTCATCATTTCTGAGTTGTTCTAACTTTGGTTTATGTTGTTCTTTAATCTACTTTATCATTTTCCAAGTATCTTTTAGCTTACTGTGTTGAGTTTTTAATCTTTCTTTTTATTTTATTTATTTATTTATTTTTACTTTCAGCCAACTCACACCTTTTTTTTTTTTTTTTTTTTTTTTTTGCTATTCTTTTATTTTCTATAGGGCTGTCATTCTGGTCCTTCTTTTTTTCATATAATAGCATTGTATGGGATTCAACTAATGTGCTTCTGTTGTTTTTACATGAAATTGGTTCTCTTAAACTTTTTAAATGAGTCATTTAAGATAGTTTTTTTCTCTCATTTTAAAATTCTGTGTTTTTGTCTGATAAAAAAAATATAGTGGCAACATTTTATAATTTTCTGACTTCATTTACTTCTTCCACTTTTATCTTGACCCTCTCTTTCTTCTCTCTCTATTGTCTCTGGTTTGGTCAATTTGGATTTTCCCAGCAATTTGTCCTCAGTGTCGGGCTTTATCTGGAAAGTATTTAGAGTTTTTTGGGCCCACTGACTCCTTATTGAAGACTGCTTGTACTTACCTGAAATTGTGTAGACCTCTCTCAGTTTCAGCTACTGTTCTTATCTTGGCATGCTGACCTCTCCAGTGAGTTTCTGTTAGCCATTTCAGAGTTGCCATGTCTGTCTGATGTCCTGTTACTTTTACCTTTTTTCCTGCACAGATTCGGATGCCATACACGTTTTGGGACTATTGATGGTTTGTCTTCACCTGTTCATATTTTGGCATTCACAAGGGATATAGATTTGTGATAGGAATATCCCAGTTTGTGCTTCTATTTTTTAAAAAATTTGTTCTGTAAGGGATTTTTGAGACATCTAAAAGCTATACTATTGTTAATACCATATTCTTAGATTCTTTTCCCTGCTGATTGCTGTTAAAGGGAATTATGTGTGGTAAGAAGGGTTAAACACATGCTTTCCATGAGGATACTTATTTTTTATGGAATTAGTTAGTAGATTGCTGGGACCTGGAGTTCTCAATCTCATAGCAATAAAACTTGAAGGAAAAGACCATGTTTTCTTTATTTTTGTATACTGTTATTAAGCACTTACGGGTGTCTGTGTCTCTAAGAATTGTTGAAATGAAAAAAATGTTTGGAGAAAAATGATTTTTTCAAGTAGTTTTTTTATTGTTTATTTTCACCTTGAGTTTTATAGAAAATTGATCATACATTTGCCTAAGAGCCACTAAAGTTGACAAGCTTCATTTTTTATTTTTTAATTTTTTTAGAGAAGATGATGAACTAGTTTTATGTCCATGTGTAGGGGTGAGTGCAGTGATCACAAGCATATCTGTAGGGTTACCACTTATTTGATTCTGTGCACTGAAACATATAACTTGTATTTGTACCTTTTTTTAATCAGTATTTGCACCTTTTTATCAGTATTTGCAGATACTGATTACCAACACCATGATTGATGTTCCTAATAAGCACCTTAAGTCATTTTTCTTTCTTCACTAAAGTATTGATTTATAGAATAAACATTTCACTTTTATACTGTTTCTCCTCATTCACTATCTTTATTCTCTGATTAGTAGTCAGCAACTTAAGTAAAATAAGGGCCATTTCACAAAAATAAAAATTTATTTTTAAAAATGAAAATAGCTTTAACTCTTTTTTTATTAGAAAAAACTAGCTTATTTGATACCATTTAAACAATGAGAAGAGTATACAAATTTTATTAATTTTATCACCTAAATATTCAGTTTTTAATAGAAACAAAAACAATTTATTACTTTTCTAACCATGAGGGGAAAATGTACAACTTAATAATTTGATTATTAGTACGGTGGTTCATATCTGTAATCCCAACACTTTGGGAGGCTGTGGCAGGAGGATTGCTTGAGCCCAGGTAAATCGAGACCAGCTTGGGCAACTTAGTGAGACCCCATTTCTCAAGAAAAAAAAAAAGAAACCAAAAAACGAAATTAGCTGCTGGGCATGGTGTGTGCACCTGTTGTCCTAGCTACTTGGTAGGCTGAGACTAAAGGATTGCTTAAGCCCAGGAGTTTGAGGTTGCAATGAGCTATGATTGCACCACTGTACTCTAACCTCAGTGACAGAGCCAGACCCTGTCTCCAAAAAAATTTCTTTTTCAATTATTTGTTACGGAATAACAATAGCAATGAGAAAATTAACTGACATTTTAGTCTCAAAAAATGCCAAGAATTGGAGGCAGTTATGAGAATTAACAATATAGGTACAGGTTTTTGAAATTTTGTGCTGGCTTTTATTTTAAAGGGCTTATGTCATTTTCTTATCCCTGTTCTAATAATTGAGAAAATCAAATTGTCATTTTATTTATTGGAACTAAATGGAACAGTTTTGAAGTCATTGGGAGAATATCATTTTCAAAATCTACAAACTAATTGATGCCAGTGAGAATGTTTTTCTTCCGCCTTGCTACCTTAGTCATCATCCACAGTAGTAGACATTTAAAGTAGTTGCTAGTACTTCCTCAAGTCCAAGATGACATAGATGTTTAAGGAATGCCATCAATTTACTGATAGGTTTTGAGGGGACAGAAAAGACTAAATTATATTTTAATACCACCTAATTCAGAAATCTTAAGGTGTGATGAAATATGCATCTTAGACTTGACTCAGTAAGTAAAATGAGTTTTTCTGTTCCAAATGTTTTTTAAGGTATTTAGAATTTGTAAACAGTTAGTTTGGAAATTTAAAATGTTTTTAAAAGAAAAATCAAGTAAACTGTTTCGGTGAATTTAAGCAAATAAACTTCATGTATTTTAGCACATAGAAAATAAATATGCTTATAAATGTAAAAATAATTCCATGATTTAAGCAAATTAGCATCATTAAACAGATTTGCAGCAGAAAAAAGTATTAATGCCAAAAAATGGATTAAAAGTCCACCTTAAGTTTAGGTGCTTAGATTCTCATGATTCTGCATAAAGTCTTTTAAGCAAACATCTATTCTGTCAGCAGTAATTCCGCCTTGGATAAACCTCATTGGCTACGATACTGCCATTGTGCAAAGTTAAACATTTATTCTAAATACAGTTGTCCCTCAGTATCTGTGAGGGCTTGGCTCCAGGACCTCTCTTAGATACCAAAATCCATAAATGCTCAAGTCCCTGATATAAAATGGCATAGTATTTGCATATAACCTGTGCACATCCTCCTGTACACTTTAAATAATCTCTAGATTAGTTATAATACCTAATACAATGTGAATGCTATGTAAATTGTTGTTATATTATATCATAATAATACAATATAATAATAAGAGAAAAAGTCTATATATGTTCAAGGTTAGTTATAATACCTAATACAATGTGAATGCTATGTAAATTATTGTTATATTGTATCATAATAATACAATATAATAATAAGAAGAGAAAAAGTCTATATATGTTCAGTGCAGTTGCATTTTATTTCTTCCTAATACTTTTTTACCCCCAGCTGGTTAAATCCCTGGATGCAGTACCTACAGATGCAGAGGGCTGACTATATTCACTTGGCCATACAATTTTTACTCATTTATTATTGTGAGAGATTCCAGGCTGTATGCTAAATCTTCATACTTTCTTGCAAAGTTAGACAGTACATGACCTCTTTTGATCTACGCTAATACCAAGGTTTATGTGAATACATTTCAGAAATGCTATGCTATTATAATTATGATACTTTTTCTATGACATTATTTCATCTCTTATAAATTTAAGAACCCTTTAACATGGTCTTTTTAGGAACATATAATTTGGTAGAATATGGTTTTGATGTTTATTTACGGTTACTCCATATGCTATTAGGTTGTTTATAAGTACATTTATCACTTTAGAGGGCTATGTTTTATCTTCTTTGCTAGATAGTAAATTACCCAAGGAACATTCCCAGAGTGCACACAGACTTTTTTTTGTAGTCAATACATGTTTTCGACAAGTGCTTAGTGAGTTTTTTCTTTTTTTTTATGTGCTTAATGGCAATGCCACAAAATAGGAAAACATGGACTTACAATGTGGCTAAGCCTCATCCTCATGCAGTGGTGAAGCAAACCTGTTATTTTTGAATATTCTAGTTTACAATCTCTAAGGATGTATTTACTGTATTTCCCACTTATCTGAGGTCAGACTTTGACCTCAGCCATTCTAGAACAAAGCCACAGACCTCAGCAGTAAGTGAAGACTAGTTTGAAGCAAATGCTTATAAAATCAGTACACTTTATTTTGCAGGTAAGTAAGTCATAGAGTGTCTCAACCAGACAGTTAACATATAAAATAAAAGAGAAAAGATACATTTGATCACAGTGGCCAGAAAAGCATGTTGAAGGAGAAGACATATTCAGAGTTTGGAAATTTGAGAAAATTTTGGTAAGGGTTTAGGTGGCTCCCAGTGTCTTTGTTGTCTTTATATTCATTTGCTGAATTTTGAACTTTGGACTTTTCTCAGGTATAAGTGATTTAAGCGATATTGCTATATATTGGTAAGAGTTGAAGAGCTGTACTCTCCTTTTCTCATTGAATGTTTACTTGTTGAGAAGGCTGTGTGTGTTTACATATTCTGTTTGAGGGAAGAAGGACATTGTGGTTTTGAAAGGAATAGGTAAGAAATCTACTATGTAAAACTGTTTAACAATGCAGAGAATGGTGTCTTGAATGGAAGAATGCTTATGTATAGTAAATGCTATTTGAGCATTTTTTTTGCTTGGTTTAGTTTGTTCATTGCTACTTCATCTTTATTATTTAGCTCTCTATTTGAAAGCCACTTGCTGAGACAGCCTTTTTCTGACCCTTCTGGTTAAAGTAGTTCTTCCCCATATCCCATTCCTCTTTTATTTTCCTCAAAACTTAGCTGAATCATACTTGTTTATATAGTTATTGTTTGGCTGTTTCCCTTTCCTCCCAGAATGTAAGTTCCTAGTGGGATAAATTTTCTTACTTAACTATGATATTATCAACTCCTAGAATAGTGCCTTGCACATAAAAAAAATGTTGATTGGTTGACTGAAATGTGTGGTTTGTAGACTGCTATGGATTGAATGGTTTCCCCCTAAAATTCGTACATTGATGCTCTCATCCCCATTTTGATGGTATCTGGAGATGAGGCCTTTGGGAGTAAATTAGGTTTAGATGAAGTCATTAGGATGGGGTCCTCATAATGGAATTAGTACACTTATAATAATAATAGACATCAGAGAACTTGTTGTCTATGTCTCTGCCATGTGGGGATACAGTGAGAAAGTAGCTGTTTTACAAGCCAGGAAGAAAGCCCTCACCGGAAAATGATCATGCTGGCACCTTGATCTTGGGCTTCTAGCCTCCAGAATTGTGCAAAATAAATTTTTGTCATTTAAGCTACCTAGTCTATGTTATTTTGTTATATTAGCCGAACAGTCTAACACATGGAGTATAGCTGTTTTATATTTAAAGCTATAGTGTATTGTATCATTATATATGTCATATATTACATCACTATACGTATATCATTATACGTATAGTATATATATGTGTAGTGTATAGTGATACATATATCACTATAGTGATATACATGTAGTGATGTAATACACTATAGCTTTAATTTATAAATATATGGAGGAAGTTTTTGGGATACAAGCATTAGAAATGTTTATTTTCTTTAAAGCTAAGAAATGACTTCTACCCTATTAAATAAAAATTTCTAGGAAAATAATGAATTTACTTTTAGCTATAGATACAGTGTAGAAAGCATTATAATTATGCAAGATAGATGTAATTATGTTACCTACTCCATCTGCATCTAAAATTACAGGATAGTTGCTAGGGAGCCTCTCAAGTTAAAGCAGCATGTGAAATCACAGAGCAGCATGAAATCTGCAGAATCTGAAGAAAAGCACCCTTCATGGCAAACATTAACCTGCTCTTTACTGCATAGGAATTTGTGGATATGGCAACAGCTCCAGTCCTTCTTCTGCTTTGAGACATTACCAATGACCTCACACATTTAAAAAATCCTTGGCCTCTTCTTTTGCTTTTAATTTCTTGAAACCTTTCTTCCCTATCATTTTGGACTTTTTCCTCACTTGGTTTTTGAAGTTTCTCCCATTTTTTTGTAGTTTCTTACTCTCAAGTCATAAGTTTCCATTTCTTTTTAGTATGCGTATATTTTCTATGTGTCTCAATATACCTTCTCTGCTTCCTTATTTTTTTCTCTGTCATACAAATTTTTTGAGGTTTTTCTTAAAACACATAATTTTTCTAGTAACATAGTCTAGTAAAAATTTCAAATATAGAAATCCATAACTTAGAAAGTAAAAGATGCCTATAATTTTATACTTTATGGATAACTTCTAGACAGATAGTATTAACTTGTCTTCCAGAATATTATACATATTTATACTTTCACCAAGAAATACATGAGAATGCCTGTTTTACCATATCCTTGCCTACTGGGTATTGCCAGACTTTTAATATGCCAGTTAGAGAAGTAAAATATAACTTTTGATATTTTAATTTTTATTTCCTTATTAGTATGTTAGATTTTTTTCATATGGCTGTTGATCATTTTTCCCCTACATTTCCTGTATCTTTTTATTTTTAATTTAAAAAATTCTATTTATCTTAAGTGATTTATAAGAACCTTTATATATTAGGATTATTTACATTTTATCATATATTCTGGAATTTTTTTATGTTGATAGCTTTTTCTACAGTTGATTTAAAAAATTAACTCTAGTAAATTTTTTAGTAATGGTGTATACTGTTAATTATTATATATTTTAGTATATAATAGTATAAGGTTAGTCTCTTATATATGAGTTTTGGGTTAGAAAATATTTGTCTATGTTCAATTCCGGTCATTTTGTAGTTTCATTTTACATTTAACTTTTGATCTATCTGGACTTCGTATTGATAGAGTGAGATAGAGTCTAATTACTCCTTTTCCCACACAGTTAGCTTGTTACCATGACAATATTTGTAAAACAGTCCCTCTTGTCCCTTCTTATTTGGAATGCATCTTTGCCGTATATTAAATTTCCATATATACTTAGATATATTCTAGATTTGATTTCCATTTCTGTTGATATGTGTCTGTGTATTCCTGTGATAGTACCACCTACATTTCTGTTTTATTGCACATTTAGAGATTTGATAGGGCTATGCTTTCTTTTCTTAACTATTCTTGCCTGTTACTCTTAACAGTTGAATTTAATAATCATTTAATCAAGGTTTTAAACCCTGTTGCGATTTTGATAGAAATTTTGTTAAATTCTTAGATGTATAGATGCAAAATTGACATTATTCTCTATTTTTAGGGGGAAGTCATTAGAGTTTAGACTCAGAATATAAATAGGTCTTTGCCAAATAGTCAGGTGGGGAAGGTAGCTTCTTATAGACGGAGTGGCATATGCAAAGCCCTGCAGTTGTGAAATAACATGACCTGTGTGAAAAACTGCTAGTACTAGAGTTTCAGTAGTGAGGGATATTGGTATGTCAGCATAGGATGTGAGGGGAAGGCATTTTTGTAGCTGAATCTGAAAATTTTGTTAGAAACTGTCAAAATGTTTTTAGCAGTTGAGTAACACTAAACATACTTGCATTTTGGAAAGATATTTCTTGCAGTTGATATGGATGAGTTGGAGGGAGATGAGATGGAGTTAGAGAGACCTTTTTAGAGTCTGCTGCATTAGTCCAAGAGAAATACAGAGATCTTAATAAAGTAAAGAAATACAAATAAAGTTGGAGGAGAGGGAGAGATGTTTGAAGGATATTTAGAACATTTAGAAAATGTAACTTGGGGGTGAGAAAGAGGAAAGAATCTAGAATGGCTTGGCTTTGAGATTTGTGAAATTCTTCAGACCCTAATTTGTAAAATTTCCTTGTGAAACTTTAAAAAAAAGTATGGTTCACAAAAATAATGATTGTTTCTTTCACTCTATAGCAAATTAATAACAGCAAAGTGGGGAGGGGGACTGTCAAGAGGTGGGCAAATAACCTTTATGTGCATTAAATCTTCTCTTCCTCAGTCTCTCTCAAATCATTAACATTCTTTCCCTCAGCAATGCCATTGCCCTAGCCTAGGGAGCAATCACCTTTCACTCAGATTACTGTAATTTTACTTTTCTCGAATCCAATATTCATGCTGAAGCCAGAATAATTCTTCAAATCCGATCATTTTATTCTCTGGCTTAAAACTCTTCAGTGGTTTTTCTCTTTTCCTTAGGATTAACGTCAACCTTTGAAAATACCTTACAAGGTTTCATTTTCCTTACTTGTAAAATAATAATAATAATAATACTTCCTTTTTGAGTTATTGTGAAGATTAAGTTAGTTCATGTTCTGAAGTGTTTAAGAACAATGCCTGGCACACAACACTGTAATAAATGTTTGCTCATGTTATTTTTATTTTTTGTTTAGTATCTTACTTTCCATCCCATCTAGACCGTAAGAACCATACAATTTGAAATGATATTTTTCTTTTGATTGATATTCTCAGTATTTAGCACAGAATATATTAATATTAAATATTAAATGTATAACACATAATTTTATGAACGAATGTCACTTGGAAGCATAATAATGAAGCATTCAAAAGCTCTCAAGCAGAGGCAGAATGTGCTATTTGTCATAATGTAATAGGAGAATGAATTTTTATAGTATTCTGTGTTGCTAAGAAAAACAATTGCATCCAGTTGCTTTTGTTATAAGACAGCAGCTCTGAAATGTTTTTATTGTTTGAAGAAAGATATTAGATAAATTGGGAATCACATAAAAGTAATTGAATGTATACAAATAGAAAAGAAAAACAATGGCAATGTTTGGTTATTAACTAAAATTAATAGATACCGTAAGTGATTTCTTTATGTAAGAAAAAGTTGCTCTGTTAGGAGGTCTGAATGTACTTTTTCTCCTGAAATGGTTAAGAAACAGGTTTATTCATATATTTATTCATCTAACAAAAATTTTAAAAGATGCCTTCTATGTTCCAAGTTCTATTTTGGGTGATTGTGATACATTAGCGGAAAAACAACAAAAATCACTGCTTATGGAGTAACATGTTAGTGGATAAGAAAGACAGTGTTTAATAAACATAAAAATAAGTTAATTATAAAGTAGAAAGTGAATAAGTGATGAAAACTATAGCAAGGTAAAGGATACATTGTGAGTATTGGAGTAGAGGAGGGGTGGGTTATAATTTTTAGTGAAGTGATCAGGATTTCATTTAAAAGATGACTTTAAAGCCAAAAGTTGAAGATGGCAAGAAGAGGAGATTTTAGGCATAAGAAACAGCCAAGGAAAATGCACTGGATTAGGAATCTATTAAACCAGTGTTGCTGAAGCAGAATGAATGAGGGGGAAGTATAATGGGAGGTGAAGTTATTTAATGATAGAGGTAGGGCAAGGGGGTGGGGAGGGCTTAATGATTTTGAAACTTCTATTTAGGAAATATTATTCTATTTTAGTTGTGTTTAATTTTATATTTTAAAAAATGTATAGACCTAATCAAATTATGTTTAAACAATATGGCACAGTAAGGAACTATAGGAAATAAAGGATTTTACATTCTGCAAGATATTTGATAACAAGTATATTCCTTGCATACAAAACTTTATCAGCAAAAGTAGCACTCTTAATTCCTTTATAGTTGAGGCATATATGCCTGGCCATATGCTTTGCTTCCAAAAAAAGTTTTTTTGTCTAAGAGATATTTGTGGCAATCTGTATTTTTCCCTCCAGTGGACCCCTCATTTGTTCTCTGTGCCATTATATACATGATGCTGAGATTCTGCTTAGAAGTAAGACACAAGTCCACATTTGTTCCACTACAATTGTGAGACATTGCTGTGGCTCAAACTACGGTTCGTTTTTGAGCAAGACTAAATTTTTTGGACCATTTGGGATATTTTTTATTATACATCTTTTGTAGACTTATAGCAAATTTAATGTTTGAATGATTTTTATTTTTATTTTTATTTTTTATGTTAGAATTGTTTTTTTTTAAATTTATTATTATTATACTTTAAGTTTTAGGGTACATGTGCACAATGTGCAAGTTAGTTACATATGTATACATGTGCCATGCTGGTGCGCTGCACCCACTAACTCGTCATCTAGCATTAGGTATATCTCCCAATGCTATCCCTCCCCCCTCCCCCCACCCCACAACAGTCCCCAGAGTGTGATGTTTCCCTTCCTGTGTCCATGTGTTCTCATTGTTCAGTTCCCACCTATGAGTGAGAATATGCAGTGTTTGGTTTTTGTTTGAATGATTTTTAAAGCTATTTTCTGAGACAACGTTAAATCTCCATTCTATTTATAGAAAATTCCACAGCTAATTTTAAAAAAAGAAACAAGTGATGATAAATGAAACCGGCTTTATTGTAAGCGGAATTCAAAGTGTTACTAACAAAGCAGGTCCCCCCCAAAATGGGTTTCTCTGTTGAGTGCCATAAAGCCAGTACACAAAACTGAAGGTGAACAACAAGCAATGAAGGTTTTATTCGATGCAATAGAATTGAAAAGCAGGAGGTTGGCTCACAAATCAACTTCTCAGCTCATGAGAGCCGAAAGTCACAGATATAGGGCGTCTTTAATGAAGAGGTTGGGCATTAAAAGTAAGGAGAAGAATATTCATGTCTGTTCTGAAATGGGCAGAGAACTTCTCAAAACCGGAGCGCTACCTTTTTGTCCTTTTAGGGTTTCTTCCAATACTTGTCATAGTGATATAGGAGTTAAAAAGAAATTATTTAGGCAGATAGAGGGAGGGTAGGGAAGTCCTCAGTAAGGTTTTCCTTTTAATGAAAAGCAGCCCCCAAATCATTTTCTTTTCTAACAAAGGGCAGCCTGTAAAATTGAGCTGCAGACATAGACAAGCAAGCTGGAAGCTTGCACAGGTGAATGCTGGCAGCTGTGCCAATAGGAAAAGGCTACCTGGGGGCTATGCATGTTCAACATGGTGGCTCCATCTTCCCTGTCCCTTCCAAACCATGTGTGTGTAAGGAGCAGACAACATGGTGCTGGCCAAGTAGAAAATCCATTTGTATAATAAAAAGATTAGGGTGGAGTGGCCATCTTCCTTGCACTATGTAAATGTCACACCTGGTCCAACCAATCTTTGGGCCCTATGTAAATCAGACACCACCTCCTCTAGCAGTCTATAAAAGCCCATGTACTTCAGCATGGGCCAGAAGTCTCACAGGAGAAAAAGAGCTATTCCCCTTTTTCTTTCTTTTGCCTATTAAACCTTTGCTTCTAAACCCACTTCTTGTGTGTCCACATCCTTGATTCCCTTGGCGTGAAACAACGAACCTTGGGTATTTACTCCGGACAACGACGCCACTTCAGTAGTGATTGTCAGCTGTCCTGGCACTGGTGGGAGTGTCATTTAGCATGGAAATTAGATTATAATGAAGTCTGAAGTTCTTCAGAGGCCAAGTGAGCTGCCATGTTGAATCTCATCAGTCTTAGCAGGTTTGGTCATAATAGGGAACTTCTGACCTCAGGCATCCTGTTTCCTAAAGATAAGCAGAGTTAAGGTGAGATAGGAATTCAGCTAGGCAGATCTTGTAGGCGTTATGCTGGGTAACAAAAAGATCCCCCTGTGTAATATATTCTTGGTAATATAGGGGCACTCTGTTAATTTAACACTGAAATTTAACTTTTAAATTTCTTTGCCTTTCAGGGCATCACAGTTTATTTGATGTTTGTATGGCTGTCAACATCTCTAAGAATACAGGAAAAATGAGTCTTAGACATGTTGCCATCTACCTTACATTATTATCTAGAGAAAGGTATTTGAACTACATTTCACCTTCGATTTCCACATCAGCTGTTTGTAGCTTTGGTTGTTGTTTTCTGTGTGCTAAACATATTGTATTTTTTTTCCATTTACTTATTTGCAACTCATTTTTCTGCACAAAAGTTTTGGATGTCTTTTGTGATTTTCAGCATCAAACTAGAAAACTATAAATTAAAAAAAATCAGAATTAGTGACTATACACATATAATGGAATATTGAGGCCAAGAAAAAAATAAGTCTGTAGTTATTGTCAAAACATTTGTTGAAACTGAACTGCAGCTTTTATTTTCAGATTGCCAATTTAGAAAGAGCAACATAATAATTTGTAAGGAAAAGCTGACTCCTTGCATAGTGGAAGTTGTATAGACATTTCATAGGATTTGCAGTAATGATCCCTTAAAATTTGGGTGAAGTGCTTGTGCTTAAAAGCAGTAGAATTGTTAAGATGTAGTGAGAGAATATAAAACTTTCCTCTGTCCATAATGATGTTCTGTTGTTCATTTTATGAGAGAGGCATCACATTTTCCAAATGGCAATGACTAAAAAGAATTATTATTTTTTATGAATGTGTTAGATATGATATAAACAGATGCGATTTTTTTTTCTTTTTAACTCCTTTATTGTTTATAAACTGAACATAATCTTTCTTTTTAGGACACTCAGCTATAGGATAGTTTATTGAATATAGATGCTTAAAATAAGAAAAACAGTTTAAGTCAGTAGCTTAAAGGTAGGAAGCAAATGATAAGCTTCAGACAATGGAAAAGAAATGAGAACCAATGGTGTTTGGAAAAAAATTGTAAACCATTTACTTTCCACTAACCTCATAAAATGTGTCTTTCAAAAAATAAAAATGCATTTTTCATACCTGGACTCTACATATGGTTTTGAATGGAAAATAAAGAAGTCTTCCTGAAATAATAACTGAAGAAAGCAAGTTAAAATGTGAATCACTTGCCTGTTATGCAAATAATGATTCAGTTCAATGTTGGATTTCAAGGGCCAATAATTTTTATGAAAGTATTACTAAAGCAAGGTGTTTGGGTTGGATTTTAAAGTCTATGTCCTTTGGTTGACTTTCCGTCGTTTTATTCATTTTAGAGAGCTTGTTTATAATATTGTGGCATGTATTTCATTCCCACCAAATTCTTCCTTTTGCATCCTTGGCACCAATGTGGACATACAGGATCTAAAACCTAAAGATATATTTCATAGGTGAAACTGTTTTTCCATGTCATAAACTCTCTTGTGCATATACCTAAATATATTATATTTAATTTTATATGATAAGGTCTACATATACTTGAGACACCTTTTTATTTAAATAGGAATTTGAATCAGTAATTACTGACTAAATGACAGACATAGTGTATATAGATCTTATAAATTGTCAGATATTAAGGACATTATTAAGGATTATTATTTTTTTTATTATACTTTAAGTTCTAGGGTACATGTGCACAACGCGCAGGTTTGTTACATAGGTATACACGTGCCATGTTGGTTTGCTGCACCCATTAACTCGTCATTTACATTAGGTATTTCTCCTAATGCTATCCCTCCCCCAGGCCCCACCCTGTGACAGGCCCCAGTATGTGATGTTCCCCGCCCTGTGTCCAGGTGTTCTCATTGTTCAGTTCCCACCTATGAGTGAGAACATGTGGTGTTTGATTTTCTGTCCTTGTGATAGTTTGCAGAGAATGATGGTTTCCAGCTTCATCCATGTCCCTGCAAAGGACATGGACTCATCCTTTTTTATGGCTGCATAGTATTCCATGGTGTATATGTGCCACATTTTCTTAATCCAGTGTGTCTTTGATGGACATTAGGGTTGGTTCCAAGTCTTTGCTGTTGTGAATAGTGCTGCAGTAAACATACGTGTGCCTGTGTCTTTATAGTAGCATGATTTATAATCCATTGGGTCTATACCCAGTAATGGGATAGCTGGGTCAAATGCTATTTCTAGTTCTAGATCCTTAAGGAATCGCCACACTGTCTTCCACAATGGTTGAATTAGTTTACACTCCCATCAGCAGTGTAAAAGTGTTCCCATTTCTCCACATCCTCTCCAGCACCTGTTGTTTCCTGACTTTTTAATGATCGCCATTCTAACTGGTGTGAGATGGTATCTCACTGTGGTTTTGATTTGCCTTTCTCTGATGACCAGTAATGATGGGCATTTTTTCATGTGTCTGTTGGCTGCATAAATGTCTTCTTCTGAGAAGTGTCTGTTCATATCTGTCGCCCACTTTTTGATGGGGTTGTTTTTTTTTTTGTAAATTTGTTTGAGTTCTTTGTAGATTCTGCATATTAGCTGTTTGTCAGATGGGTAGATTGCAAAAATTTTCTTCCATTCTGTAGGTTGCCTGTTCACTCTGATGGTAGTTTCTTTTGCCGTGCAGAAGCTCTTTAGTTTAATTAGATCCCATTTGTCTATTTTGGTTTTTGTTGCCATTGCTTTTGGTGTTTTAGTCATGAAGTCCGATTAAGGACATTATTAAGGATTATTAAGCAACATTGAGGTGGCTGCTAAAATATTTTCATAGAGTGCCTTGATGGGCACACTATAGGGGTTGCAGCTAGACTGATAAATACTACACTTTAGATTATTGCTGTTGTAGAGCTTATAACAATCCAGTGGGTTATAGGTATTTAACTGTGATTACTTCTCATACTTCAAAGTTTTGCCCTTTAAAAAACAAACCAAAAACCCCTCAGATATTGGAGAAAGCCTATTGAGAAGAGATTGTCATCACAAGTAAGGATAATAAAACTGATTTTTTGCCTGCTCTTTTGGATTTGTTTCATTTCAGCAAAGAAAGGTTATGCTTCCAGATTAGAATTTATTTTTTGTGTTTTCAATAAGATATCTAAGACAAAGGCATCTGTTAAAACTGTGATCTAGTGGCTTCTAAATGTATTAAAAAGATTAGGAAATATTCTGAGGCAAAGACTCATTGATTTCCTTTTATATTTATTTCACCTTGGTGATAATAAAAACGGATGGAACTACAGGCTAAATACTACTTTCTAGCCCCACAGTATGTTTAAATACAATCTTAACGCCATGCTTGTGGTTTTTGAGTTGTCAGTAATCTCCTGGATGAATATTGTAGACTGGGTATTTGCAGCCAGCACAGCTGTCTTCCTGACAGAGGTTCATGTGAGGAAAAAACGTCAGGCTGGGCTAAAATTACAGGACAAAATAGAAGCAAAAGTATTGTATTCTATGAAAATGGTGATGATGGGGTAGTTTTGCCTTAAGCCCTTTTGAAAAATCATTTTTAAAACATTATGGAAATGCCACAGTTCTTGAAATATTTTTTTCCCCTTGTTTTGAAGCCTAAGATATTATGGGACAATAGTCATAACAAATTAGACTATGTTTCAAAAAATTACTTTGTATGGCACAGTTCTTTACCCAGAGCTAGGAGATAGTTCACTGTTTTTGTGCAGTTATATTAGCCCTGATATGCCTATTTAGTAAGCATATAGTAAGCATGCTTTAGTAAGCATGCCTTTAAAATCACTGTTAGAAACTCTGGTCTTTGAAGTGTGCCTCTTTGGGACACATTTCTTAGGGCTTGGAAACCAAACAGATTCTTACCAGCTGAGCTCCTAGTTTTTTCTAGGAATAGATTATGAAATACGTAAAAATATATAAGAAATGGTTCCTACTCTTAAGAATCAAACACTGGAGATATCATATGTGTAAAACAATGTGAGATGTGATACATTTTTAAGGGTGGAGTTTAGTAATTTTGTAGATGGGGGCTACAATCTTCAATCCTTCTTTAAAAGAATTGTTTATTTCCTTCATAGTCAGAAAATACTTAATGTGATTAAATGTTTCATTAAGGTTTTTACAAATTAATATGTAAATTTATTTTTATCCTTCATTCAGAAAGGATTCTAAGTGTCTATACTTACTAGTAAATTACATGTTTCATAATTAAACTGTAGGAATGCTATTCATAACATACTGACATAGGAACAGGTAAATCAGATCTGGGACTTATTGCTTCAGTAAGGACAAAAAAATCAGTAAATAAAAGGTCCAGATAGTACCACGATGATACATTAACTTGTGTTAAGGTACATTTAACATCTCTTAAGCGATTTAAGAGTGACTTTCATGCCTAGTTTTTGCAGTTTTCATTTTAAGGAAGATATTGAAAATCCTGGAGGAGATTCAGAAAAGAGCATCCTAAGTAACTGAAGGGGAAGCATGACCTAAAAATATGATAGCTTTTAAAGATTATTTTTAAAAAGATGATTAGAAAACACTACTTTTATATACCTGTATATTACCTTTCATAGGAATAAATTAACAAATGAGAAAAAATATTTGATCAAACTACTTATCTTGACTTTTGATTCAGAAAATATGCTCTATATTTTGTGGAAGTTAATAAAGATTTGGGAGTATTAGTGGTCTTAAAATGGACCAAACTAGTTTAATGCTCTGCTCATCCCCTCTGACTTTTCTAGGACGTAGCTCCTCAGTTGTTTTCCTCACTCATCAGTATACAACCTTGTTTTATGTGTGTTTCTGTGGAAATCCCCTTATTAGATATTCCTGATTTATTAACATTGACCTCATGGCCAACAGCGCTGTAACTCATGCCTGAGGGAAGCTTATCTAACACAAGTGTTTTTTTTTTCGTAAGGCATGTCATAGCCTTTGCACTTATGAACATTAGGCAGCACCTTACTACTATGCTTGGGGACCATTTTAAACAGTGAAATCACAGCAGTAAGCAAAAACTGTGAAAAACATGGTGTTAAAAAGACCAAGAAAATGATACTTGTTTATAGTATGACAGTTGAAACAAGAATCATACAATGCTCTACCTGGTATGACCTTAGCTGAGAATGTGTATGTTGGGCAACTGAAAATTTTTCCCACTTTGGGGTCAGGCATGGTGGCTCACACCTGTAATTGCAGCACTTTGGGAGGCTGAGGCATCCTGATCACAAGGTCAGGAGATCGAGACTATCATGGCTAACATGGTGAAACCCTGTCTCTACTAAAAATACAAAAAATTAGCCAGGAGTGGTGGCAAGTGCCTGTAGTCCCAGCTGCTCGGGAGGCTGAGGCAGGAGAATGGCGTGAACCCAGGAGGTGGAGCTTGCAGTTAGCCGAGATTGCGCCATTGCACTCCAGCCTGGGTGACAGAGCAAGACTCCATCTCAGAAAAAAAAAAAAAAAAAAATTAAATAAACAATAAATTTTTTTTCCCACTTTGTGCATGTCCACAAATGACCACAAAAGCACCTAGGATATTTATTTTTGGGTTACAAATAAGTTTAGCCAGTAGGCAAACTCTTAAATATGGAATCTTCGAATAATATAGATTGACTCCATCTGGGAACAGATGGCTCTGTTCATGTCTCATCTTTTGCTTTTCACTTTTATCTCTATCTTGGTATCTTTCTAGAGATACTCCTCAGGGAATCTCGGCTTTCATTATTTTATTTCCTGTACTTGAAAATCTATTCTTGATTACCTTTATTGCAGCTTTAAATTTAGAAATCATTAGGATTATTTTTCAGTGGCGTTTCCATACGTCAGATTATATAGACTTTATGACAGTCTAGTTTCTCACACGTGTAATTTGTCCTTTTAAGTTCTAATGCGAATGTGAGTTACAAGTTTTCCAAAATGTTTTTCTATTTTTTTGTAGCTACATCTCTGTTGAAGATCTTTTTGTTAATCACTGAGTTATTACCTTTTAAAAAATATTGATGATGATTTATTTTGGTTTGTTTTTGTACTTACATGACAGACTTCTGTGCTTATCTTTTATTTGGAATTGAAACGACTTCTGGCAGAATTTATGTGTGTGTGTGTGTGTGTGTATGTGTATGTGTATGTGTATGTGTGTCTTTTAGCCTTAAAGTATCAAGTGCAGGGAGGGGTTTATGAGTTTTATTTGTTAGAAGTCTAACAGCTTGAGGAATGTGAGGCGCTATATGTGGCAGGGATGTTTTCTTGTTTGGGAGACTTGCTTCCAAACAAGTGCTTGCAGATATGGATATCTGGTGTGGGAGTTAGGAGTTTGTATAGTTCTATTCTTTATCTAGCTTCTGGCCTCGGGCAATTTGAAGGAATGGTTTTTGAAGAGGAAAACGGGTTTTATTTAAAACTAAAATATTTAAGCACCTAATATGAGCTCTTTATATTCTTGGCATTATATTAATAGGTAAAAACCTCTTTTCTCTAAAGAGTTCAGGTGGCCTAAAATCATCTATTTTTATTTCTTCTCTATCCTTGCCTATGGCATCCTTTGTCTTTGGTCTAGTCTGGGGAGGGGTTAGAAACCAGATAACTAGCCTTGTTGGAATTGCTCAAAGAAGGGCAGGTGGCTTGCTTCTGTATTAGGGTTTGGGAACATTCTCCTTGCACATAAATTCTGGAGCACAAATTTTGGATACTTTTATTTACTCCTTAGGATACATTTTTTTATACTTTAGAAAATGGTTTTTTGGATTTCTGGGTTGCCTAATAAAGTAAGGAAATCCAATGGGGCAGTATCATATACATTTACCTTACAGGAAGTGTAACTCAGTGTAATGGCAAAAGCCAAAAGCACTTGGGCACCAAACCAACCAAACATAACAGTAACAATCCTCATATCCAAATAGACAAAATTAGCATATGCCCTAGAGTGTGAAATGATAGGTATATAGCCTGTTCGTTTCATCAGTCAGTCTTCTAAAATGTCTCCTTAATAGGGTTTAGAGAAGATACCAAATATTAGGTACTGTTTAGTTCAGTGTTTATGTGTGTGTGTATAAATATATACAAATTTAAATATATAAAAATATATAAAATATTTAATATATAAATATTTAAAAAGTTAAACATTAAAATATATAAAATGTAAAAAATATAAAATATAAATATACATTTATATTTTATACATATATTTATATTATATATATTTATAACATATATTAAATATAATGTTTATAATATAAATATTATATTTATAAATATATATTCATATAAATATGTAGATAAATACATAGTATACTTATATAATATATAATACATATAATATATAATATATAATACATATTATATATAATATAATATATAATACATATTATGTATAATATAATATATTATAAATATTTATATATTTAAATATATATTCACATATAAAATATATATTTATATATAAATATTATGTATATATAAATATATAAAAATACATATATATATATTTGAGACCAGGTCTTGCTCTGCTGGAGCGCAATGGTGTGATCACAGCTTACTGCAGCCTCGACCTCCCAGGCCCAAGCGATCCTCCTACCTCAGTCTC
Organism: Homo sapiens; assembly: GCF_000001405.40. NCBI lineage: Eukaryota > Metazoa > Chordata > Mammalia > Primates > Hominidae > Homo > Homo sapiens. The sequence goes on from NC_000012.12 coordinate 28,335,531, forward strand.
TTGAGTGGGTGGGGCTACAGGTGCATGCCACCGTGCCCGTCTGATTCTTTTATTTTTTGTAGAGACTGAGCTTCCCTTTGTAGCCTGGCTTATCTCAAACTCTTGTCCTCAAGCAGTCCTCTGGCTTTGGCCTCTCAAAGTACTGGATTACAGGCAGGAGCCACCACACCTGTCCTCAGGATTTTAATTTTAAAAGTATTTTATTTAAATACTTCAACCATTTTTAGTAGAATTCTCCCATAAGGCAAACATTCTTATCTCCCCTTTTTTTCTCATTATTTTTGTCTTTTTAGAGATTATATTAACTCTGTGTTACCATATGTTTGGTGGAAGGACAGCTTTATGAGTGCCAGTTCTTAAACTGACATGTAGACAGTGTTGCATCATGGCCTATAGAAAAGTTTGGACTGTTTTTTTTTTTTAAAAAAAAACCACACAATTTTTTATCTATAGCAGAGATATTTGCCATAGATTTTATTTCCTCGGAAATGATTATTGGTTTATTATCAGAGAGTAAATTTGAACTACTTTTTTTTTTTACCCTTAATCCCCTTCCCAAAGAAACACAAATGGCTCATTCAATCTAATTTCTTAGTAATAAATAGAAAAAATAAACAGGCAACTCCTAGTCACCAGGGCCCTAATTCAGAAGAACAGGATACTCCCAGAGTAGAACTGGTTGGAATATTTTATGCTTGTCTAGCCTGGTTAGTTGTGAGCAGAAAGTAATTACTAATTGATGGCAAGGAAGGAAGAGAATCTGATTCATAGGTACTCTAATCAGAATAATAATAATTGGAAAATTGGGACGTATCCGTATTATTTTAAGTGTGATTTTTAAAGTGCTCCTTAAGTCCTAATAGAACAAAAAAGATTTATGCTGTGTATTATACATATTAGAAATTTTAGCAATGGTTCCAGTGTTGTGATTTTTGTAGTTATGGTTACATTATCTCTTAAAGAAAACTTTCATAGACTTAATAATTCAACTTCAACATTTTATTTTAGGCTAACATTTTGGCAGGGGTAGGCTTGTTGGTGACTATTTTCTGAAGCTTGAAAAGTCTTGCTTAAATCATAGTAAATTGTTATTTCTAGTATGCATGGCATTTTTCATTCCTAGAAATGAAGAGTCATTTTTGGAGATGTTTATAAAACATGAAAGTAGACAGGAGAATAGGAAGGTCTGACATTGTTCATGCTTTTGCAGCTACAGGTAATTCATTTTCAGATCACCTATCTGCCCCTAATGTAATATTCCCATTCCTGAAAGTAGAGAGGAAAAAAAGTAGTCCTTGCTAGAATGTCCTGTGAAAAAATATTTTTTAAACTAAAATTTGATAACTATTCAAACTTTATATATTTATATGGATTATTACATGTAATTTTCACTTTAAAAAGTTAACTGAAGACAATATTTTTCATCTTTTAGTATATTCAAATTCCTTCTATAATAAAATTGTCAATAGCTCTGTGTTTCATCCTGATGATATGCAAAATGCTTTTCCTGCATCATTGTTGGTTCAAGTTACTAAGCGTTAGTAAAGCCTCAGTATCAAGTAGCTTTTCCATCCAGGTCAATTGCCCCCAGTTAGAAATCATTAATTTCATTATATTTATCTCAATTTATTGCATACTTTTGAAGGTAATCACTGTTCCTAGGAGATAAGTTATCTTTCATGCCAAGAATCAGTTGTAATATTTTCCATAATACTTCCACCAAATAACAACATGTATTTGATGTTTTTCGTTAATGAATAATTTGAATGTGATTGAATTCATACTGCTCCTATAGCATTATCTATCTAACATAACAAACCTGCCCCATTTTAAAAATAAATTCTTTATTAACATAACTTTATAATATCTCATCTTAGCAATGAAACATGCTTTTCAAAATCATCTTGTTTTTTATCTAGATCATTGTTTTCTTTATTATTTTAAAATCATGTTATTTCTGAATATCTTTATGCAGGAAAGTCTGTCTTGATTCATGACCTTGTTTTTTTTTTTCTTTAAAGTTACGGTTATTTGAAGAGGAATTATCATAGGATGGAAATACATACTTTAAATTGGTTTTATGAAAGTTTGAACCAAGTTACATTGTCAGTGCTTATCTCATACTCATCTATTGATCCACTTAATACATGGAAAAAGAGTTTTAGTACTTGAAAGTTAGAAAAAAATACTACCTTTCAATTTGAATTTTTGAAAATTACTCATTGCCTTGGACTAAAATATTTTTATCAGGTAGTTTTTGTTTTGTTTTTCTTAACTCTCTATTCCCATTTTTTGAACATTTTTCCTTTTGGGATTGCAATATTTCTTATAAATTTCTATAGTTTTTTTTATGCTATGAGTATTGATTTAAACTCCATTATCTAAGTTCTGTTTTTTGGTGAATATTTTTCCTAATAATTTAATGCATCATTAATAAATAATGAGCACCAGCTCACCAGATATTGTCAGGGGTGAAAGTTCTGAACCCAAGAGACAGAAGTCTTGAATTTACAGTCTATATTTTAGTGGTGTATAGACATAGAGCAAATAGATGAATTTGTAGTTTCTCAGGTGGTGATGGTGCTTTGAAGAAAAATGAGGAATAATAAGCAAGCTGGAAAATGGTAGGATATGGTCTTTTATATAGGGTGGTAATGGAAGGCCCCTCTGGCAAGATTATATTTGAGTAGAGACTATTAGCAAGTACAGGTATTGGCCCTTATGGATCTTTTTTTTTTTTCTTATGTACTTATCACAGACTTTCCCCTAAACTCACCCCCATAGTGTTTTTTTTTTTTATTATTATACTTTAAGTTCTAGGGTACATGTGCACAATGTGCAGGTTTGTTACATATGTATACATGTGCCATGTAGGTGTGCTTCACCCGTGAATCTTGAGTGTGTGTGTGGGTAGAGAAAACAGTGTGAATGCCCTGAGATAAGATTGTGCTTGATGTGCTTTCAGAAAGTACAAAGATGTTTGGGTGCTGGAAGGGGTAATCATGCAAATAATAGAGAGATACCAGGGGGCCACCCTACATAAGGCCCTGTAGGCCAAGGTAAGGATTTTGGATTTTACTCTTATTGACGTAGAAAGCTATTTTAAACAAGAGTGCCATGATTGTCATGAATTAAAAAAAAAAATCACTCTGACCTCTGTGGGGAAAATACACTGTATAGGGTGGGGAGAGACCAGTAGGATGCCATTGCCATGTTCTGGGGAAGAGAAAATGGATGCTTTGGACTAGGGCAGTGGCAAATGGAGGTGGTAAAAAGTGGTTGTATTCTGGTATATTTCTTTTTTTCTTTTTCTTTCTTTCTTTTTTTTGAGACGGACTCTCGCTCTGTCGCCCAAGCTGGAGTGCAATGGCGCAATCTTGGCTCACTGCAACCTCCGCCTCTTAGGTTCAAGCAATTCTCCTGCCTCAGCCTCCCAAGTAGCTGGAATTACAGGCATGCACTACCATGCCTAGCTAATTTTTATATTTTTAGTAGAGACAGGGTTTCACCATGTTGGCCAGGCTGGTCTGGAACCCCCGACCTCAGGTGATCCACCTGCCTCGGCTTCCCAAAGTGCTGGGATTACAGGCATGAGCCACCATGCCCAACTGGATTCTGGTATATATTTCAAAGGCAGAGCTGACAGGGATTTCTGTCAGACTAACGTGAAGCATGAAGGAAAGGGAGTAGTTTAGATCTTTGGTCTGAAGAGCCTGAAAAATTTTCCATTTACTGACATAGGAAATCTGAGGGAAGAAAATGTTTGGAGAGGTGAGGGAATCAGTTTAGTTTGGGGAAGGTTAAATTTAAGAAGACTTTTAGTTATCCAGTTAGATAGTTGAATAGGCAGCTAGTACATGAACCTGGCATTAGGGGTTTGGGGCTGGCATACTTAAACATGTGGCTAGATGTGATCACCTTCAGAGTAAATGTAAATAGTATCATCCCTCCTTATCTGTATCTGCAGATTTGATCGACTGTGGATCAAAAATATTTGGGAAAAAAAAAACAATAAAAATAATATAGATAAAAAATACAATATAACAAGTATTTACATTTTGTTAGGTATAATAAATAGAGATGATATATAAAGTATGCAGAAGGATATGAAGAGATTATGTGTAAATACCATGCCATTTTATATAAGAGACTTGAGCATCTGCAGGTTTTGGTATTTGCCTGGGATCTGGAACCAATCCTGCATGGATACTGACAGACAACTCTGGAGAAATTTGAGCCCTGAGAAGCAGTGCCCAACCACGGACTTGAGCTAGAATGCCCAGGTTTGAATCTCACTTCAACCAGCAGTGGGGCATGTTGTTTACTCTTAATGAACCTCAGTGTCCTTGTCTGTAAAACAAGGATAAACACAGTACTTATCTGTAATAGTTATTGTGAGGATCAAATCACTGTATTAATATGAATATACACACATATATATGTATATATACACACACTACTTATAGCTATATTTTGTATATAGTACCAGTGGTTGCTAAATATTTTGACATTAAGACCCCTTTACACTCTCAGTCATTATTGTGGATCACAAAGAGCTTATGTTTATTGATATTTACCATATTAGAATATAAAACTGAGAAATTTAAAAAATGTTTAACTCATTTAAGAAACTATTGTAAACCCTTACATATTGGATAATATTTTGGGAAACATAGCTATATTTTCCAAAATAAAAACAAATTTAGTGAGAAGAATGACATTGTTTTATCATTTTGCAAATCTTTTTACTCTCTGTCTTCATGGAAGACAGCTGTATTCTCTTATCTCCTTGTTTATTCAGTCTTTGGTGATATCATAGGTCATGCAACCTCTGGAAAACCCCAGTGTATATTCATGAGAGAATGAGAGTGAAAAAGAGAATATCTCAGTAGTTTTATGAAAATAGCTTATGAACTCTCTAAAAGGGTTGCAGGAATACTCAGTTCATTACATTTCTTTTGCTGTGGTAATGGCCTTCATTCCTTGGCTCATGGTCCTCTTCCATCTTCAAAGCCAGAAATGGCTGTTTGAGTCTTTCTTATATTGCATCACTGAAAAGGGAAAGGTTTCCCTATCCCCCTTGCAGGGTGTGTAATGGGGGTGTGGCTTGCTTCTTTGGTGGCCCGCTACTTATACCTGTAAGGGAGCATACAGATGGGCAGGTTGTGGGGCTCCAACCCCATGGCAGTGTCTAGGGGTGAATGTTTACAGCTCCTGAGGCTGCAGTGGGTGTGTGTTATCATGTGCTCTTTTAGTTTAGCCATCTGCGGGCTGCTTGTGTTAGTCAGCTTAATTAGACCCCCTGCCTATGGCAAGGACAGAGGGCTTTCTGTATCCCGAGGTTCTTGCCTTTGTGTACTGGAAGAATTGGATCCCATGTGGGCTTGGAGAATGAGTGCAAGGTTTTATTGAGTGAAGGTAGTTTTCAGCAGATGGGGTAGCCAGAAGGGAGATGGAGTGGGAAGGTTGTTTTCCCCTGGAGTTGGGTTGCTCAGTGATGCGGGCTTTCTTCTGTCCACCCCAATCAAACCCTGTGTCATTCTGCCAGTCGATGGTCTGCTGCCTTGCTGACGTCTGTCGGTGTGCTTTTCCACTGGCGTCCTCTCAACGTCCAGCCACTACATCTTCTTCTGCTGATGTGCTCCCCTTGAAATCCAGCTGCTTGTGTCTCTGCCTGCTAGGGTCTCAGGGATTTTATAAGCATAGGATGGGGGCATGGCAGGCCAGGGTGGTCTTGGGAGATGCAACATTTGGGTGTGAAGGCAGGAGTGCCTGTCCTCACCTAGGCCCATGGGCACAGGTCTGGGGGTGGAGCCCTAGCCAAGGACCATGCCCTTCCCATCCCAGCACTTTCCGGCCCCCCTCCCATATCATCACTTTGATACTAACTCTTCTGGCTCCCTGTTCCACATTTAAGGACTTTTGTGATGACATTAAACTCACCAGAATAATCCAGGATAATCTCCCTATTTTAAAACCATCTGATTAGTAACATTGATTTCATTAACTACCTTAGTTCCTTTGTCTTGTAACCTGATGTCTCCATAGGTTCCAGAAATTAGGATGTACTTGTTTTTAGGATGCCATTATTCTGCCTATTACACTTAGGATTCCTTGACCACACTTTGAAAACTATAGTTCTGTGTAGATGTTTCCTGCTATTATTTCATCATCCTCATTATTTCTGAAATTTGAGGTACTTCCACATGTTGAGAGATGTGGAGGAACTAGTAAAAGGAGGCTGAGAATGCGTGGCTAGTGGGTTTGCCATCCAGGCCAAGAAAAGTCTGTTTAAAGGCAACAGTAGTTAACTGTGGCAAATGCTGCTGAAGGTTATCTAAAATCAGGACTAAGAAAAGACTGTTGTGTAGATGTATTAGGCAAAATATTGCCCTCTTAAGATGTCCACCTCCTAAATTCCAGAATCTGTGAATATGTTGCATGTCAAGAGATTCTTTAAAATAGGTGTAATTACGATCTCAGACCTCAAAGTAGAGAGATTCTCTTGGATTCCCCTGATAGCCCCAGACAAATTACATAATTCCTTAAAAATATCGAACCTTTTCTGGCTGTGGTGAGAGACACAAAGAAGCATGAGAAGAATTTGATGCCCTGTTGTTTCTGAGATGCAGAAACTGTGTGCAAAGAACTGAATTTTGTCAACAGTTCAAATTAAGAAACAAAAGAAGCCCTTCCCTAGAGCCTCCAGATAGAAAGGCAGTCCTCCCTACCAGCATCTTCATTTTAACCCAGTGAGACATGTTGACTTCTGACTTATAGAACTGTAAGATAATAAATGTGTGTTGTTTTAAGCCACCGAGTTTATAGTAATTTGTTATGACAGCAATGGAAAACTAATATAGTAGGCCATTTGTTATGTCAGTGGCCAGTTGTGGCATAGTGGTGGGGATGAAAGTCTGTTGGAGTGGATTTAAGAGAATGAGAGGAAAGGAAGTGGAATCAGGATGAGTATAGAAAATTCTTCAGTGTATGAGGGGCAAGAGAAGATTTATTTATTTTTTTGCTGAAAAATATTATAGCAAGCTTCTGTCATGGGATTGATGCAGTTGAGTGGGAAAATTGATGACCAAGTGAAAGAGAGGCCTTGAAGGTTGAAGATGGGGAGAGCAATACCCCTGAGTAGATGAGGGAATATAGGATCTAGTGGATAAGTATGGGGTGTTATCTTTAGATGGAACAAAGTTCTTGCAGTAATAGTAGGGAAGACTACATATGTGGGTTCAGGTACATACAGACTAGTGGATGTAATAGGCATATGTGGAAAGGCATTTCTGTTAGCTTCCATTTTATAAGAATGGAGTAAAGAGAGTTGAGGAGATATTGGAGGTTTGAGTGTGAAGAAAATGTGAAATAGGCTGAAGTTTGTAGACAGACAGAATCACTAATACTGCATATCATGCCTTTTTATTTGACATAGCCAGATAACCTTAGATATTCCTCTTAGGAGTCTGGCCTATCAAACTTAAGGCATTGAAGAGTAGAAAATGCATGTTTTGTGTAGTCAGGGATATGTTTGGTGGGGATGGGGAGGTGGAGAGAGAGATTGAGAGACATTGAGCAAAGAAAGTAATAAAAGAAATATGTTGAGAGAGACTGAAATAGAGTGAGAGCAGGAGATATACACATACATTGACATATATTGTGTAATATATATATATATATATATATTCAAATACATATACAACCCCTCTTAATGTCCCTATCAATTTATCACATATAATAAACAGCATAATGTAATATATACACATATGTTCATATGTGCAAGCACACATATTCATTCGCATAGCCATATATCATATGTATATATGGAGGTGGGAATGGGAGAGTAGAAGGAGGAGCTTGAGGGAGAGAGTTTGAGAGGAATGATACTGAGCCATACATTCTCAACTTTTCCTTACCAACTCAAGGATTCAGGTCACCTCACCTTTTATGTGTAGAGAGGGAGAGAGAAAGGGTGGGGTAAGAGGTCAAGAGAGTTGTTGAGTTTCCTATTACACAGAAAAATGAGCTTAGGGAAAAGGTGTCTCCAACAGTTCAATTTCTTTACCTGTACTTTCATTATTTATAAAATATGGAGGGGAGAGGAATGTTCCTTTTTCATCTTTATGGTCTTTTCTGGTTCTATAATTATACAACTAAATTTATGTAACTGGTTTGATAGCAAATTTTATACAGCAAATTCTTATGGAATATTTGTTTCTCATTTTATAAAACGACTTCTCTAGAAATAATGTATCATCTGACCTTTTGGTACACTGGTAATTTTGTAGTCCTATCTAGGCTGATGCCTCTGTTTTTTGACAGACACTATGCATTATTCTAACATTAATTTTAGGAAAATTGACATTACTTTTCTAAGAGTGAGGTAATGTTTTTGCTGGCTTGCCAGCTACTTTTGCCAGGATAGGAGAGAGAGAAAAATAGCATCTGAAAGATGTGATTCATATTTTATAAGTCACAAATAATTTTTTCTGGTATTTTAAATTCATATCTAAAATAGTTATTTTATTTTGGAACCAATAGATATTTTAACAAAAGGAAAAAAAATAGTGCAGTGTGAAATTTTTGGAGCATACTTGTAATAAGAAATCAAAGTTATACTAAAGAGGTAACATTTATATAAGAATCCAATGTAGTCACTAGCAAACTTAAAAAAATCTTACTTGGAGTTAATAAAACCACATACTAATCATTGCTTGACTAGTTTTATAAGGAAATAGTGAAATTTGGTGATCTTTTTGCCAACAGATAATATTTGCCTATTTTTCCTTCTGTTTACTTTTCATCATCATTAAACTCCAATGAATATGTATTAGAAAAAACATTATCTCTGTGGTAAAATATAGAGTAGAAGAAGTTTCCCTGTAGCAATGGGCCTTCTTTCCATTTCTATGAATATTTTACTCTCATTTGAAAAAGATTTATTTCATATGTGTCATATGCTTATCCATATTCACCATCAAATTTTATCGGCATATATAGTCTTCACTCTGAGACAGAAGGTTATGATAAAATCTCTTTATTATCCTCCCAGTTGTCATCAAAAATAAAAGGAAGACTCTGAGGAAAACTAATGTTTCCTGACTGGTTACTATGTGCAAGGCACTATGCTATCTACTTTGAATGCATTTTCACAATAACCCTGTGAGATTGTTGTTATCTGTTTTACAGATGAGGAAAATCAAGTTTAGCTATTAGCCTTTGAATGAGGGTTTTCTTTTAGACCCATGAGCCTTCCACTATTTTCTCCCTCAGTAAATATTTTCTAAACATTGGTTGTTTATATCCATTGCTTAATGTCAGCCAGATGCCAGTAGACAGAGAAGGCATCTGCCTACACTGAGTTGAGGGGAAGCTGGTATTATTATTTCCTCTCAATATGTCAGCCTTTGTTCCTCAGCTTTGGTGTCAGCCACCTCATCATTAGAAATTTATTTCATTGAGTTAGGTTTCTAAGATAGACACTTAGTATTTTATTATTTTAAGGTTAATAATATATTTTTTGAAATGGCAACATCTTCATGCAGTTCAGAATTTTAAAAAGTACAAAAGGCTATACAGTATAAGGCCCCCTTCCCATGGTATCTGCTGCCCACTTTTCCTTTCTTGTGTCAGCCAATGTTAGCAATTTCTTATATATCCTTCCAAATATATTTTAGGTATATATATACAAATTTACTGTGTATATGTGTATGCGTGTGTTTGTGTGTATGTATACATACATATATATTCATGTTTTAATATAAAATTTATCATACTTTTTCACTTAACATAACTTAGATTATGTCAGTATAGTAAGAGCTGCTTCTTAATAATCTATTTAATGGGTGTACTATCATTTATTTAACAAGTTCCCTATATTGAACATTTAAGTGTTTTCTGACCTTTTACTACAGTTACCTTATGTATTTAGATACTGTTATTAAATATGGAAACTGAGACTTTTATAGCTATTTATTCACTTACTATCTACACTTACTGCAGTGTAAGCTCTAAGCACAGGTAATGTCTCAATTAAAACAAAAAACTCTTACCAAATTACAAATAAACATAGTTTAAAGAGCCATTTCTAAAGCTTTTTTTAATGAAAAACACTATTCACAGGTCCTTTCTCCTTCCTGCCATTTTTCTGGTGCCCCAACAGCAATTACTTTCAACTTTTAAAATTAATATTTATGACCATGTTTTTAAATAACATACTTTACAATATTTCTGCTTCTTGATTTTTCGGATCTTATGTATTTTTACCTCTGACCCAAACCTAGGAGTTCCTTTATTCCTCCAATATAGTTATATCATAAATTTGACTAGATCAGTATTCAGTCTTTACAGTATAATGGTTATGTCAGTGCCATTGATCCCTGAATTATATCACATATTATGATTAATTTTTTCTTCCTGAACAACTTTTTATCTTTAAATGAATATTGTCTTTTATGCATTTTTATTCATTGTGATTTTTTTCCATGCAATTTTTTTTTGGCTAATTTTTATTGTGATCTTATATATATTTGATCTTAATTAACCGAGTTCTTGGGACTTAATTGACACTTCTGTCTCTCACAGGTGAATTTGTGGTTAGTTCTGTTGAGAGCTGTGAATCTCAAGTGTCCTGGCGCTATGCTGGTTATACATCCCAGGGTCTTTAGTGTAGTTGTCTATAACTAGTTATTGTAATTTGTTGCCACCCCAGTGCGTGTTTTTCTGATTGAAAACCATATAAAAACCTTTGTTCTTGAGACAGCCTTGACTTTTAGAAGTGTTTTCTCTATAAAAATCAAGTTACAGTTCGGTTTTGGGTTTTGGACTCTTGGAAATTTCCCTTCTTGTAAGCCAAGTACTACTCTAAGCATTAAGCTATGTTATGATTTAGTTGTGTTTTTACTGGAGACACTTTTAAGTATAAAATAGTGCTGGAGATGAGTTTCTGGGCCTATATTTGTCTATTGTCTAGAAACTCTAACCGTCCCTTCAGTGTGTAGTATTTAGTTATGGGAAATTTATTGAATTCGTTTTTTGCTTTTTTATTTTTTTATATTTACCAGTTTATTAAGAAGAATATTTTAGAGAATACAAATAAAATAGCTAGATGGAGAGATACATAGGGCAAGGTATGGGAAAAGGGCATGGAGCTTCCATGTGCTCCCTGGGATTGCCACCCTCCAGGAACCTTCATGTGTCCAGTTATCTGGAAGCTCTCCAAACCCTGTCCTCTTGGTTATTTATAGTGGCTTTATGAGGTAGGCATGATGATTAAACTGTTGGCCATTGGTGATCAACTTGACCTTCAACCTCTATCCTTTCCCTTGATGTTGGGGGACGGGACTGAATGTCCCGAACCTCTAATCCTGCCTTGGTCTTTCTGGTGACCAGCCCTACCCTGAACCTATCAGGCAAAAGACACATAAAAGACAACACTTTGGAGACCCCAAGGATTTTAGGAGTTATGAGCTAGGAACTGGCAGTGAAAATCAGTATATATGTATATATCATAATACTGGAGGCCATCCTCTGGTTTTTGACCATGGATTTCTCACATCAAAAGAATATACATAATTATTAATAATTTGTTCAGTCCATCATATTGTTTGGGGGTCTCCCAGGGTGAGGCCATTCACGTTTGCAGATTTCCTATCAATCTTCTCAGATTCCAGAAGCAGAAGTGGTCCTGACAAATGCACAGCTTTATTTACCCTTTCAGGGATCTGGAACAATTGAGCTAAGAGACAGTATCATCTCTTGCTCTGAGACTCTTTAGAGTTGTTAATGTAATATGGAATTTCCTTCAGTTAATAACCCACTTATTCATTTCTTTACTCTCAGCTGTTACTTCTTCTTCTGTCCATTAGTACCCTATCTTTTTCACCTTTGGAAGGGACATTAGAATTGCTGCTGTGTTGGTCTGGATTGCAGGGAGCAGGTTAAGTTTACCAAGTACCTCTTCCTCAGTCCATTCCCATTCAGATTAGGTACAGTTACTTAGGTACAATACTAGTGAGCTATTTTTACCACCAGACAATATAGCTACATTCACTTTTAACCCCAATTTTGCTAGATGGGGGTGAAGATGTAACCCACCCCCATCAGGCCCTTTAGAAATTATGAAATGAGGTTTAAAAACATACTGACAATTCCTTGCTTAGAAATCACCCATGCTTCCAGCATTTGTAGTTGCAGCTCTGGTCCTAGGACCACTATATCAGGTAGGGGAAAAAAAGATATTTTTAAAAAGTGATTTGAGGAAGAAATATAAAAATGCAGTTGTTATATCAGTGTATTTCTCCCTTGGCAAGAATTGTATAGTGTGCATCACCCCCTCTCCCCCAGATCAGCCAGAAAAACAGAAATCTAGTGGGGACACTCCTTTAGTCCCACTTATGTTAAGTGTGAGCACACACTTGTGAAGGCATGTAAGCCAACCATTCATGCCTTTATTTCCCTGTTTTAGACAACCAAGGTTTCAACTGCCCATCTACTTCTCTATCAGACTATTACATTACTCTAAGGAGGCCATCTCTCTGTCCATTGTTGGACATTATGGGCTGCACAGTGTGTTCCTTGGTGTGAAGAAATGATGGTCAACTATCCAAATTCATACAGTATCTTCTACTCTGGTGGAATACTGTCAATTCCTGTCAAGACCCATGTGTAGCCCTCCAGGGCTACCAGCATCGGTCTCATTTGCCAGCTATGTTTAGGGCCACCAGGGAATTTGCTCCATAGCCATCTGCAGCCTCTGTCTCCCTTATTGACAAATAGAACAGTTCCTACTGGCATTATGTATCTGAGAGTGTGCAAAAGGAACATGCCTAGATTCAGCCCACGTCTGCACTGCTGCAGTGCCCGCGTACCCACTCATGTCGTAGACCCAGGTGGCCACCCCAAGGCAGCACACAGGGATATCTGCTTGTTGATTTCAGTCACCTTCCAAACATGGAAAGGAGTTCTGATGAGCATTGACTTGTTCTGTTTTAATGCATCCCTCAAAATGTTGATAGCACCATGATCTACATGAACCTTGAATTATTTTTGATGTGTTACTGTTTTGTTTTCTCTCTTCTTTCTGTAACAACTATTGTTTGGTTGCTCGATCTACTGAATTGCCTGTTTTATTGATTTTTCTTTCCTTTATTTTCTCTCTCTAATCTGTCTGATTTTCTTAACTTTGTTTTTCTTTTCTTTTTTCTTTTTAGTCAGGGTCTCGCTCTGTCACCCAAGCTGGAGTGCAGTGGTGTGATCTTGGCTCACTGCAACCTCTGCCTCCCAGGCTCAAGCGATTCTCCCACTTCAGCCTCCTGAGTAGCTGGGACTACAGGTGTGCGCCACCGTGTCTGACTAATTTTTCTACTTTTTGTAGAGACGGTGTTTTGCTCTATTTCCTAGGCTGGTCTCAAACTCCTGACCTCAAGCAATCCACCCACCTTGGCCTCCCAAAGTGATGGGATTACAGGTGTGAGCCACCATGACTGGCAATCTTATTTTTCAATTGATATTTTTATATGAATTACTATGTTTTGTATTTCCAAGAGCTTTATTTTTTGTTGTTCTTTGAGTCTTCTATTTTTATAGCATTTGGTTCTTGTTTTATGAGTGTCATATCTTCTCTTATTTCTTTGAGGATGTTAATATTATTTTTTATTCCTATATAATGTTTCTTCTAACTGTGCTTTTTCCTTTTCTGTTATTGTCTGATGATATTTGTCTTTCATTTAGAAGCTTTCTCTAAATGTTTTGTTTTCCAGAGGTATCTTTTATTTAGGAATAGGGCGCAAAAGGTTGTTTGGAAGCTCTATGCTGACAAATGGGGCATGATGTAGAGCAGACTTGACTGTATAGTTATAATGACGAGGCTGTTTATTGTCAGCCCTCTCCCACTGTCAGTGTCTTTGAGCAGGGCTAGTTTTATGAGTGTACAACCTCTGTATTTGCACAGGGCCCTATGCTTATAAGGGCCTCATGCTTGGTTTAATCTACTATTGACATCTTTAATTTCTTAGTTTTTGAGTAAGGTTTCCACATTTTTATTTTATACTGAGTCTCAAAAATTATTTAGCTGGTCTTTCTTGCTTGGTTTGATAACCTTCTCTAGAGAAGGTCCATTTAGTCTCCTGTCTGGTGAGGATAATTCAGGCTAAACAGGAAAGATTTCAGGGCCTTTATATTTACTGTGGAAACTTTCACTCCTTTTCTTGTTTACTCTGGTACTCCTGCCCTCATCTGTGCCTAACGTTCCCAGTTTAGAGACCTTCTGTATTCCCCGCTTCAGAGAATAGACCCTCATTCCTCTGTTACAACTGTATAGGGTCAAGCTCTGCAGAATGGTAGAAGTGATCTGGGGAGGACTACAAATTAAGCAAACTTTCAGGCAATCATCCTGCTCTTAGGATTCCTTTTACCTACTCTTCCAGAGTACTTTGCTGCTACCAAATCCTGAGTATTTTGGGTTTTCTGCAGTATTATTGAATTATTTCTCACTTTTCACACTGCTTCTTTAAGATTGTCTTTTTTTCATTTTGCTATTAAAGTTAGCACACATGCATCTGCTTTTAGTCTTTTGTTTTCTCAACTTTGACTCTTTGCCTTTATACCTTTGTACTATTACAAGCAAAACAAAACAAAACAAAACAGAAAACCTATACTCTTTTTCAGATATTTTAGTTGCATTTTAGGTGGCAGCAACAGTAGGTACCTATGAATAATCTGCCATTTCTTTTAAAGATCTGGTATTATTGCTATTAATTTTTATTATTAAGATCTGTGTTAAATAGTTGATATTCTGTTTAGGAGAGGTAATTTAGACAAATAATTATTTTTAGATGATTAATTTAGACAAGTAATTATTTTTAACACTTAGGTAAGAAGTAATTTGAAAAAGGCCATGTCATAATCAGGAGAAATATCTTATTGTATTAATGTACTGGTGTCCCGGGCATACACTGGACAAAGTAGAAGTTGAGGTACTTGAGGTTTTTTGGTGTGTGAAGGAAGAAGCTCATTCAAAGGACAGTGGAAAAGTACAGTGTTTGACTTCTAGGGCTGCTATAACAAATTACCACAAACTTGGTGGATTGAAATACAGGAAATCTATTCTCTCACAGTTCTGGGGATTAGAAGTTTGAAATTAATGTGTCAGCAGGGCCACACTCCCTCTGAACTCTTTCCTGGGAAACTCTTTCCTGTTCTCCTCCAGTTTCTCATGGCACGTGACATTTACTGGCTTCTGGCAGTATGACTGACTCCAATTTCTGCTTCTATCTTCTCCTGGCCCTCTTCCCTGTGTCTCAAATATCCCTCTCTTTTCTCTTATAAGGGAATCAGTCATTGAATTTAGGGCACATTCATAAATCTTTACCTCATGGGTCCTTAATTATAATGCAAAGACCCTATTTCCAAATAAGATTGCATTCATAGGTACCAAGGATTAGGACTTGGACAAAACTTTTTAGGGGCACAATGCAATCTGTTACCGTGTTCTTCCTGGCCCCACAAAATTCCTGTCCCTCACTGTGCAAAATACATTGACTGAGTCCTAATGTTCCCAGAAATCTCAACTCAATAAAACATCAGCTTTACATTGAAAATCTCATCCAAATAACATTAACTCAAAAGTCTCAATGTCATCATCTGAATCATCTAAACCAGATGAGGGTGAGACTGAGTGTGATCAAAGTTCTTTTATTGGTAGACCTGTGAAACTAGAAAACAAGTCATCTGCTTTCAGAATACAATGGTGGTACAGGCATCAGATTCCCGTCTGAAAGAGAAAATTGGAGAAATAAAGGAATCACCAGTTCCAAACAAATTTAAAACACAGGAAGGAAAATTCATTAGGTTTCAAGGCCTAAGACTAATCCTCTATGGCTTGATGCTTTGCCATCTAAGCCCATGACTACAGTTTGGTGAGTTTCTGGACCTGTGACTCTAGTTTGATTATTGTCTGGGCCTGTGCTCCAGGTCAGTTGCCCTCTGTGCCCATGGCCCTGGCTTGGTTATGTTTTCTACTTGCAGTTCTGTTGCCATCTGTGCCTGTGGCTCTGCTGGCCTCTGCCTCTGCACCGGTGGCTCAAGCTATGCCTCTGGGCCCTGGGCTTTGCAACCGTAGATCTAACCTCAGGTCATTCCTCCTTTTTTTTTTTTTCTGAAGATTAGCACATATTTATAGCTTCCTAGTCTAATGAGCCTACTTCCTCCCTGTAGAATCTCAGCAGTCTGACAGTCATTCTTCATTTCATTTATTTTTCCTGCATCCTAGGCTTCATCCTAGGCTTGCTGTATATCTCCTTCATTCTAGGCTTGCTGTATTTCTCTTAGTACACCATTTTCAAAAACCTTGTGAATCCTCTGAGTTAAGGGGATTCATGCTATTAGACAAACAAGTTCTCCACAGATCTTTTCTGGATAACCCTATACAGGCATGCCTTGGAGATACTGCAGAGTTTGGTTCCAGACTGCTGCAGTAAAGCAAATATTGCAGTAAGTGAGTAAGATGAATTTTTTTGTTTCTTAGAGTACATAAAAGTTACATTTATACTATACCGTAGATTATTGTATGTAATACCATTCATGTCTAAAAAATGTACCTAAATTAAAATGCTTATTGCTAAAACATGCTAAAAATCACCTGAGCTTTCATTGAGTCATAATCCTTTTGCTGGTGAAGGATTTTGCCTCAATGTTGATAGCTGCTGTTGATAAGGGTGGTGGTTGCTGAAGGTTGGTGTGGCTGTTGCAGTTTCTTAAAGTGAAACTATAATGAAGTTTGCTGCATCTATTGACTCTTGCTTTCATGAAAGAGTCCTCTGTAACATGCAGTGCTGTGTGATAGCATTTTACCCAAAATAAAACTTCTTTCAAAATTGGAGTAAGTTCTCTCAATTCCTGCCACTACTTTGTTAATTAAGTTTGTGTGGTAATATTCCAAATCCCTGGCGGCCATTTCAACAGTGTTCACAGCATCTTCACCAGAAGTAGATTCCATCTCAAGAAACCACTTTCTTTGTTTGTTCCTAAGAAGCAACTCCTTATCTGTTCGAGTGTTATGTAATTGCAGCGTTCAGTCACATCTTTTACTTACAACTCTAGTTTTCTTGCTATTTCTACCACATCTGTGGTGGAAAGGAATTTATTATTATTATTATTTTTAGCAGTAGTTCTCAACAATGGTCTTAAAATATTTGGTAAACCATACCGTAAACAGATGTGCTGTCATCCACGCTTTGTTCTTCCTCTGATAGAACACAGGCAAGAGCAGCATAATGCTTAAGGGCCCTGGATTTTGTAGATGGTAAGTGAGCATTGGCTTCCACTTAAAGTCACCAACTGCATTAGCCCCTAACAAGAGTGTCAGCCTGTCCTTTCAAACTTTGAAGCCAGTCATTGACTTCTTCCCTCTGGTTGTGAAAGTCCTGCGTGTCATCTTCCAAGAGAAGAATGTTTTGTCTGCATTGCAGATCTGTTGTTTAGTGTTGCCACCTTCATCCACTATATTAGCTAGAACTTCTTGATAATTTGCCGCAGTTCTACATCAGTACTTGCTGCTTCACCTGACATTTTTATCTTATGGAGATGGCATTTTTCCTTCAACATCATGAACCAATCTCTGATAACCTCAGATTTGTCTTCCACAGCTTCCTAACCTTTCTCAGCCTTCACAGAATTGAAGAGAGTTATGGCCTTGTTCTGAATTAGGCTTTGGCTTAGGGGGAAATGTTGTGGCTGTTTCAGTCTTCTCTCCAGACCACTAAAACTTTCTGCATATCAGCAATAAGGCTGTATCACTTTCTTATCATTTGTGTCTTCACTGGAGTAGCACTTTTAATTTCCTCCAAAAACTTGTCCTTTGCATTCATTCCCATCTTGGCTGTTGACCTGAGAGCCCTTGGTTTTGGCTGCTCTCAGCTTTTCATATGCCTTCCTCACTAAGGTTAATTATTTCTAGCTTTTGATTTAAAGTGAGAGCCATATGACTTTATCTGTCATTTGAACATTTAGCTGTTATTATAGGGTTATTAATTGGCCTGACTTCAATATTACTGTGTCTCAGAGAATAGAGAGGCTCTAGGAGAGAGGGGTAGATGGGGAAATGGCTGGTTTTTCAGTCGAAACACATACAACATTTATTAAGTTTGCCATCTGATATGGGCATGGTTTGTGGCACCTGAAAACAATAGTAACATCAAAGATAACTGATCACAGATCACTGTAATAGATGAACTAATAATGAAAAATTTTGAAATATTGTTACAATTACCAAGATTTGACACAGAGACACAGAGTGAGCACACAACTGTTGGAAAAATGGTGCTGATTCATGGGGGAAACAACACACATTGGGGCCAATTGGAAGGTGGAGGGTGGGAGGAGGGAGAGGATCAGGAAAAACAACGAATGGGTAGTAGGCTTAATACCTGTATGATGAAATCATCTATACAGTAAACCCCCATGACCCAAGTTTTCTACGTAACAAACCTTCATGTGTACCCCTGAACTTAAAAGCATTCAATTTGTAAAAAATGCAGTATCTGTGAAGCACAATATAATGAAGTACAGTAAAATGAATTACATGCACTTAGTGGCTTAAAACAGCAGAAAATTATGTTATGGAGGTCACAGTTTTAAAAATCAACATCTTGGCAGGGTCATACTGCCTCCAAATGATCTAGGGGGAATATTTCTTTACGTCTTCCGGCTTCTATTAGTGACTGATACTCTTCAGCATATGGCAGCATAACTCTATCCTCTACTTCTTTCTTCACGTGCCTTTCTACTCTACATCTCTGTCTCAAATCTTCCCCTCCTTTCTCTTGTAAGGATACCAATAATTGGACTTTGGGCCCATCCTAAGTCCAGGATAATCTCATCTTATGATTCTTAACTAATTGTATCTACAAAGACACTATTTCCAAATAAGGTTACATGCGCGGCTACCAGGTTTTAGGACTTGGACAAACCTTTTAGGGAGGTCATAATTCAACCCACTACAAGTACCACTTTTAGTATATTTAAATATATGAAGGCAAATAATAATACTGTGGACAGGAAAACACACTACACAGATAAATGACAAGAGCATTAAAAAGTGATTTTTAGTATTCAGCCATATTCCTTTTTTTGATCAAATTTTAAAATGTGTTGAGAAGCTGTGTTATTAGCAAGTTCCTTTCTGCTTCTGGGGTTAAAATTTACTCAAACTTTGGAGACCAGACTTAAAGTGGGAAAAGCCATACAATATTACAAGAATTCTAGAGTGTTTTAAATTCTTATTGATCGGGACGTTTGTAGATTTATTGTGTATATATAGGTTACAGGCCTTTTCTTTAACATTCAGTGACTAAACATTGTTTCTTGCTGTAACCACAAAGTAGGGAGGATTTGTTGTAATTGTCCCATACAAGTAGGCAAAGCTGGTCTTAGGATTGCAAACTTTGCTCTTCCCTTCTCCCTCCTGCCTCTCCTTTTTTCCTCCTCTTTTATCCCTCTTTCTCCTTCCCTTGCTGTCCTTCCTTTCCTTGATATTTTCCTCTTCCTACATCGTTTTCTTCCTTCTTTCTGCCTTCTATTTTTTTTTCCTCCTGTGCTTGGCCTGAGTTAGTTTTGAGCATCTGCCTTTCAAGGCTCCATGCCTTTGAAGATCTTAACAAAGCTAAAGATAAATAATGATCTGAATCTGATGCTAATAAACTGAATCTGATGCAAAGTGGAGTTTCTTTCCTATTGGAGCACTTGATAAGGTGACATTGAAGTAGCAGTGGGAACAGAGCCAATCCAATCAACAAATTAACCAGGATCTCAGCTGGGGTTTTGCAAAAGGCTACATTTCTCAGGCTGTGTAGGATTTGGCCTTCATTCTTTGACAGAATGTGGTTGGTAGAGGACATGTTGTGCTAATGGAGAATTGACAATGGCAACAATCATGGCACTGTTGTAAACATATCATCTTCTCTTATGAAGTTCATTTGAGTAGTTGTTTTCATCTTCAGGGTGATGAATTTAGTGTGACCTGTTTATTCATTCCGCTTTGGCTCACCACCAATTTCTTTCCTTAATGTTTTGCCTTAGACATGGATATAAAATTGTCATTTCTGGGGTTTGTAAATTAACATATAGGAAAATTGATTACTTCTGTGCTTGTATGAGTAGATTGTGAGGTCCTTTGCATACCTTCCTCACTGTATCTGTTAGGAGAATTCCAGGAGAAGTTTGCTTTTTTAATCCTGTTTCTGATTGAGAGGATTCAGCAAAGCTGATGGCTTTGGAATCTGCATGCCATGAAATTCATGCCATGTGTTAAGGCAGCCATTATTGGAATAGGAGCAGTGATTAAAATTAGTCTTTTGAGATTTTGGTTATCTTACTCTAGAGGGACAATCTTATTAAGGGCATCCATTTTAGTATTGGAGATAGAATCCTATGGCAAAATTCTTTATTTCCATTTGTAATATTTATACTTTTAGACTGATTCTTATCATGTGTGTTTTTTTTCTTCCATTTTATATTTATCTAAATTTGGAATTAGTTTGTGAGACTGGGGATGATTTTGAAGGGTCTGTCATGTGCTGTTATTTGTTACTACATGTATAGAGAGACTGAGAAATGAGACAATGTAGAGGTGGAGACTAAACATTTATTCTATGGGAAAGACTTCTGTTGCATAATGTTGTATCATGCTCATGAAACCTACTTTCGTTGCAAGGATTATGGCTCCTTTAGGAAAAACAACCAGGCTTATTGCAGCTGTCAAGTGATGTGGTTGATGAGAACTGAAGAGGTGTTGTTTTGTTGTTTTTCTTCTGTATTGATGGTATGCACATATGGTATAATCTTATCTTTTTTTGCACTACTCTGGCATTTATAATTAGGCCATTTAGATGTGTTGGATTTTTCAGATTTTGGGAGGGGTAATTTTGTACCATTTCTCATTCCGAATTTTTTCATGTATGGGTTGTATGTTATCACACCATCTTTATTTTGATTTCTTGCCCCACAGATTTCCTTTTGGAATATCTGGAGGTGTTTGTGTCTGCCTTCTCCAATACAGTGGATTCGTTGTTGTGAAAGGGATGTAATCTTGTGGCTTCCAAGAAGGTGGTGGTGAAGCCTATATTGGAAAACCTTTCTCAATCAGATATTATTTGCTAATTATGTTCTATAGTGGAAAACCTTTCTCAATCAGATAATATTTGCTAATTATGTTCTATATTGGAAAACCTTTCTCAATCAGATATTATTTGCTAATTATGTTCTGGTAGGCTAATTATAGACTGGCTCTTGACCAAATAATTTGGAAGGTGAAAAGCAGCTGCTTTCTGATAGATGGAATATAATGTGGTTAGTTGATCTTTGGAATTTCTTTATCTTTTTAAGATCACTGTAATAATTCATTCCAAACACATCAATTAAATGCTGACTTTTAGCCATCCGTGTAGCAGAGGATCCTGTTGCTATGCATGAATTAATTTCTTAGAAGTGATTAGTAGAGGTTCTACTTGGCTTGGCAATTGCCAACAAAAATAGAATATGAGCTTTTTAAAAGAAAGCCTTGGTTCAGATATTCATATCGTGTATTGTCATCAATATACCAGTGATGGTTACTGAACAAAATTTTTGTTAATATTTCACTTTTTTTGGAAAGCACCTTTATTTGTTGATTGTATGGTTCCTTGTTTACATGTGTCTCTATTAAAAAATTTCTTGAATACTCATCATGTCCAGGCATATTAAGAGTATGAAACTTAGGTATATTTAATCATTTTAGCTAAGAAGCAGTTGGGATTGGAGCAGTTATGGGTAGTGGAGGCTTGGTTGGAATATGCTTCCATTTACCTTTGAAAAGCACCTTTGCATCAGTTTTTCAGACCAAAATTTCTGGTTAGCAGTAATAAATTGATGAATGACTATTTCAGATTTTACGGACCATGACTAGTTATATGTCTTTGCTTCACCAGAATGTATGAAATATGATATGTGATTCTGTGTTTTATTGAGTTATATACAGAAAACATACCTGTTGATGAGGGAATGAGAATACATTCTAATAGCTTGATTTTTGATAGGATATTTTCAAATAAGCATTAGGGTGGCTATCAGGAGATCTGATTTAGGGTTTGCTGTGCCCTTATTGAACAATACCTGGCACACAATCATATTATTTTAGTGACCTTGAACACATTTTTTGACTTATCTGGGCCTCAGTATCCTCATTTATAAAATGAACATATTGGAATAGTTTACTTTTGAAGTCTTTTTTTGCTTAAAAAATCCACAGTTTTATTTAAGGTGAGGATATTTGCTTTTGTCATCTCTTTCTAGTGATGTTTTGGGGTTTGACATTTTGAAAGAAAGTTATTATTGTGGTCAAATTTGGCTTGACTCCTTTAAAGATAGGCTGTAAATATTTGGCTGCATATTCTTGAAATGAATTTTAGTATGACTATTTGGTTATTCCTGTGGACAGACTGTTGTGTCACAGTGTGGTTGTATGATTGCCATTAGTAACTTTGAAGTAAGCAAAGGAGGGTTAATTGATCTGTTTGTAACATACTGTATTATAGGATAGTATTAAGGAAGTTGGAAGTGTATCTTAGAAATAATTTATTCCATCTCCCTCATTTAACAGATAGAGAAATGTACCCAAAAAATTTTTTTAATTTATATGCTTAGCTTGTATCAGAAAAAGAACATTGATTTTATTCTCATTCAGTCATTCAACAGACATCTACTTGAACCTGTCAAGGAGCCTACTTTTGAAGACCAGGTTGTGAATAATGTTATTAACACTTTTATTTTGATGTAAAATAGTTCTGCTCTAGTTCTGTCTCTCTCTGATGAAGAAGGAAACACCTTTCGTACTTCCCAAATATATTTGGCCTTCAAATCTTGGCCATTCTAGTTCTTCTTTATTCAGTGCTTATTGACTGAGCTGACATTTTATATAAGGCAGCATTTAAGTTACCTATATTCAGTGTCAAGTAAAATTTCACGCTCTCAAATTGTATTGTCAAAGTGTGAAATCTTTCTGATGTCCTTTTTTCCTCACTTTAATAAGTGCCATAGTGTTGTGGAGTACTAGCACTACCTCTTCCAATATAGTGGGGGCACACAGGAATGAACAATAAATGTAATACATAGTGATAGGTGCTATGAGAAAAAGCATGATTAGTGGATATTGATCAGTGGTGTACTATTTTATATAAGTGGTCAGGAAAAGTCTCTCTAGTAAGATAATTTTTGAGCATGATGTAGAGGAAGTGAACATGCAATATCTGGGGTAAATAGCCTTTGAAGCACAGCAGCAAATAGCAAGTATAGCAAGTGTAATAGTCTTACACTTTTAATAGCACACCAATACTTTTTTTTTCTTTTTGAGACAGAGTCTTGCTCTGTTGCCCAGGCTGGAGTGCAGTGGCGCGATCTCGGCTCACCGCAACCTCCGCCTCCCGGGTTCAAGTGATTCTCCTTCCTCAGCCTCCCGAGTAGCTGGGACTACAGGCTTCCACCACCACGCCCAGCTAATTTTTGTATTTTTAGTAGAGACAGGGTTTCACTATGTTGGCTAGGCTGGTCTCGAACTCCTGACCTTGTGATCTGCCCGCCTCAGCCTCCCAAAGTGCTGGGATTACGGGCGTGAGCCACAGCACCCAGCCTACACACCAATACTTTTTAATAACTAATGTCATTATTCAGAGCCATCGATATTGAATGATTACACTATAATTATTCAGAGCCATCGATATTGAATGATTACACTATAATTGAAATGATATACATTTATTTTCAATTTGTAATGAATTAGGCCAAATAATATATTCGTCTTTAGTTTCATTTAAGGCATCTAGGGTAGTGTGCTTTGCCTTAGGCTAATTAACTCTAATTTTTAAAGATTGTCGAATTTTTTTGGTAGTCTCTTCAATTTTTAAATTAGTAATAGGTATTGTCAAGAAAGAAAGAAAATAATATTTAATCAGATAAGTTTAAAAAATCCTGATTTTAGTAAAGGTAAACAGATTACTTATGAGTTTGTCAGAGGTTTTAATATGTGAATATATGTTGTTAATTTCCACAATTTGTTTGACTATGGTAGCCTATTTTATATTAGCTTTTCTATTTTGTAAAGCAGTCTCTGGGTAACACTAGTGTATCTGACTGCATATATCCCCAGGGTAGGATATATGCATCCCAAGAACTGCCTATTATGATCCACTAGGTTATAAACATAAAATGGCAGAATATTTCTATTTACTTTTAAAATCTTGAGCAATGAGAATAAAAGCTATGCTAATATTTAGTATATGGGTTGGTGCTTTTGCCTTACCTAGGTCCTTACATGAGACAGTAATATACTATTTGTGAAATAACTTGACATGAATGGGAGTTCCAAAGTGATGAGTTTTAGTGATGTCCTCATTTGTTTGCTTGTTTATAGTGTAGTATATTACAGGAATTTTCTTAAACAGGTTAATGGATTTAGTTATTATTACCTAGTTTTAACTAAAGGAGCTCCCACAAAAATGGGAAACTATCTTAAAGTAGATCGTTGCCATGAAACATGGATTTATAATCCTACTAACAAAAATCTGTGTTTTTGACAATTGCTGTTGATTCTTTATGATTAGGTAGTTGAATAAATTGTGATTTAGCTGTAATATGACAAGATAAAGGGCTTACCAGAAAAAAGAATAAGATGTTGATAATGAAATGGAACCTGTTTAATCAGTAAGGTATAATAAATAAGGGGAATTGATGAAAAAGGAAGTGGTAGCAGTAAATGGACAAGAACTATCAGCATTCTCTTTTATCCTAAATATAGTTGCAGCTTAATTTTCTCTCAGAGCTCCTTCAAGTGACAGTGAGTTATCCTTTGCAGTCATTCACGGTGGGTCACAGGCTGGCAGAGGCAGTGCCAGTTGCAGCACGTGTCTTCTGCTGTCATCTTAGGCAGTAACACCCAGCAAGCCAGTGTCAGAAGGGGAGTGTGTGGAAGATTGTATAGGAAGTTTATGTGGTTCATCACTACAACCAACCTGGCATTAGTATAATAAATCCCACTTGATTGAGATGTATTCTTTATGTCACTAGGTTTAATTTGCTATTATTTTCTTTGGGATTTTAGTTTTTGTATTTATAAAAGAGATTTAACTCATAATTTTCTTTTCTTCTAAACAACTCTGCAGATTTTAGTATAAGGGGTATGTTGTCCAAATAAAATATGGTAGGGAGTATTCCTTATTTTCACATTCTCTGGAAGAGTTTGTGGAAGATATCTGTTAATTTTTTCTTAAATATTTCTTAAAATTCACCTATTAAGCTTTCTGTGTGTACAGATTCCATGTGTCTGGAGAATTTTTTGTGTATGTGTTTGTTTTTTTTAGTTAATACAGGTGCAGTTTCTTTAACATATATAGGACTATTCAAATTTTGTAATTCTTTAGTTTTGGTAAATTGTGTTTTTTATTTTAGTAGTTTTAAAATTTTATGTAAAATGTTATATTTATTGATATATTTTGTAATATCTTTTCATTTTTAGAAATATTTATAGATTATATAATGTCCCACATTCGTGCCTGATGTTGGAAGTTTTGTGGGTTTTTCCACTTCATTATTTATCATCTTTTTTAAATTTTTAAATTTTTATTATTTTATTATTATTATACTTTAAGTTTTAGGGTACATGTGCACAATGTGCAGGTTAGTTACATATGTATACATGTGCCATGCTGGTGTGCTGCACCCATTAACTCGTCATTTAGCATTAGGTATATCTCCTAAAGCTATCTCTCCCCACTCCCCCCACCCCACAACAGTCCCCAGAGTGTGATGTTCCCCTTCCTGTGTCCATGTGTTCTCATTGTTCAGTTCCCACCTATGAGTGAGAATGTGCGGAGATTTATCATCTTACTACTTGTTTCACTTTTTTCTCGTCTTTTTTCTCTTTTTGCTTTCTTTGGCTTCCTCTGTCCTATATGTCTTTTAAAAGATTTTTAAAAATATTTTCCATCATATTAAATATTCCTTTTGCTGTAGTCTTTATTTTTTTTCACTGTCTTTTGGTTTCCTAATTCTGTTTCCGGCTCTCTTTCATCTGATTATGTCATCTATTGAGTTATTAATAGTACATATTTCATAGATCTAGAATTTCTATTTTATGGATTCCAGTTCTCTGGTGAAAATCTCTATCCTATCTGTTTTCTCCATTTCCCTTCTGTTTTTTGGATGTGTTAGGAACTCTTACATACATTTTAAAAACTCTGTGATAACTAGCATCGAAACCACCTATGGACCTATCTCTGGAACTATTTCTTTTGTCTTATCTGTTTTCTGTGTGTGTGGGAGGGGGGCGGGAGGGGGTGTTTCTTTTTGTTTTTTCTGTTGTCATTTCTGATAATTTTGTTTTGGAAGCTGGACATCATATGTGAAAAACTGGAAAGATTGTAGGATGTTAACAGTGTCCAAAGAGACTTCATCCTCTCCTGTCCTAGGTAGGTAGAATTGGGGTCTAATCATATTCCAGTGGTTCTCAAACTTTGGGATGTATTAGAAATATAGAGGCCAAGGCTTGTTGCAGTGACGCAGGGTTTCCCATCTCTTGATCCATGTCAAGAATTGGCAGATGCCCCAAGGGAAAGTACCTTTGCCTTGTGTTATCTCACCTCTCAACATGGTTTTCCTTTTTCTCTTGTTTCCCTTTAATTCCTCATTGCCTCAGTGTTCTCCAATGCTTTTAAGCAAAGCTTTATATATATATATATGTTTTCTCTTTGTTTCCAGCTGTAGCATTGATGTGCCACAAACCACTGAATCATTCGTGGAAGCAGCAAAAGTCTATGGTTTTATTATTTTGAAAACAAAACAGAAGAAAAACTCATGGTTTTAGTTTCTTTTTTCTTTCAGGAAAAACATAAACAAGAATTGGAAGACATGAGGAAAGCTGGTCACGAAGCCCTCAGCATTATTGTGGATGAATATAAGGTAGAGGTTTGAGAGTGTTTACTTTTTTAAACCTTGGATAACTTTAGTAAAAAATGTACACATGTAGGTATGTGCAAACATATACAAATTATATGTGTAGTCTTATTTTGCTATAGAATTTCTTTCCATTCAGCAACAAATATCCATTGAAAGCATACTCAGTGGATTACAAAGGTAATATTAGACACTGTTCTGAATTTGAGAAAGTTTGAGAATATTTGAGAATATAGTATCAGCAGGTAAAGAAATTCAAGTACAAAATAATATAGAATTAGTTGCTAGATTATCTTTTTTGTCTCTGCTGTGGTTCCTCTGACAGGAAAAAAATTAAGGCATGAAATATATCAGAAAAAAATATTATACCTTTTTGCTTTTCTTTTCTTAAACAAATTAGATAGATTTGGGTACACTTTAGCAATAACAGAAATTATCATGTCAGTATCATACAGTAAAACATTAATATTTAAAATTATTTTAAAAATTATTCAATTCTGTGCCTGCATAAGCTGAAATATTTAAAGCACATTGAGCATTTAATGTCAAATTTTTATTTCCCTTTAAACTTCATGTTAGATCATTTTTCTTTTACAAGTAATTAAGGATGAATATGTTTTTATTGAAATAAAATTCAAACAATTCTCCCTAGAAGTAACCAGTATTGGCAGTTCCATTGTATATTCTTCTAAGAGATTTTTCCATCTACTTTTATATACTTAAATGCTCATAACAAGCTATATAGTTTTGAATTGATTAAAAAAAATGTTATCTTACTAAATTTACTCTTTCTTGCTGTATTTACTCACTGACTTGGAGATATTTTCATGTCAGTACATATAAGCTTTTCCTATTTTTGTTACTCTTCTTTAGTTTTTACAGTATAAATATACCATAATTTGTTTAACCATACATGTTTACATAGGCATTTTGTTTTTCATTGTTCATTATAATAATAAATATAAAAAATCCCTATTACAGTTAGAATATAGAAATTTTTGTGTTGTTGATTAAACTTCCTCACTAGACTTGTTAGAAGTTAATGTCATTTTAGTTGATAATTTAGTGTCAGAAGCTTCCGTAAATCATTTGGGCCGGGCATGGTGGCTCACGCCTGTAATCCCAGCACTTCGGGAGGCCGAGGCAGGTGGATCACAGGAGATCGAGACCATCCTGGCTAACACGGTGAAACCCCGTCTCTATTAATAATACAAAAAATTAGCCGGGCATGGTGGCGGGTGCCTGTAGTCCCAGCTATTCGGGAGGCTGAGGCAGGAGAATGGCATGAACCCGGGAGGCGGAGCTTGCAGTGAGCCGAGATTGCGCCACTGCACTCTAGCCTGGGCAACAGAGCAAGGCTCCATCTGAAAAAAAAAAAAAAAAAAAAAAGAAAAAAGAAAAATCATTTGGATAAAAGTAGGAAAAAAAGTAGATCCAGAATTAAGTGAAAAGTGTTTTTTTTTTTTTCTTCACCTAGGGTATTAAAATAGTCTACTAGATATGTCTTAGGACATGAAAGGCCATTTTTGTGACCATACCCAATATAGTAGTTGATGCTCATTGTTAAAAAGGTCATTAAAAAATGTCTGATTTTGGCAGAGCATGGTGGTTCACATCTGCAATCCCAACACTTTGGGAGGCCGAAGTGGGTGGATCACCTGAGGTCGGGGGTTCCAGACCAGCCTGGCCAACATGGTGAAAACCCGTTTCTACTAAAAATATAAAAATTAGCTGGGCCTGGTGGTGCACACCTGTAATCCCAGCTACTTGGGGGAGGCTGAGGCAGGAGAATTGCTTGAATCTGGGAGGCGGAGGTTGCAGTGAGCCGAGATTGCGCCATTGCACTCCTGCCTAGGTGACAGAGCGAGACTCCGTCTCAAAAAAAAACAAAAACAAAAAACAAAGTCTGATTTTTATAGCAATGATAATTGGCCCTTTTATAATGTTTTTAATATTTTTTCTGTTAATGTAAACCAGTTTTACAGTTATTGAGTTGAGGAAAAGTCCTATATTATTATAGTATTGATTTTGTCAACTTATTTTATCCCTAACGCTGAGGGTGGGAGGAATTAAAATACAATTGGCCTAATATATTTGCAGATTCCATAACCATGGATGAGAAATGTTTGGGGAAGAAAAGCAATAAAAATAACAGTACAACGGTAAAAAGTAACACAAATTACTTGCTATCTAGAAAAAGAGAAGCATACGGTAAAATAATTATCACATGAACTTCTCATGCATGAATGTAGGATCAGGAAGAAAATCATTCCACTTCTTGTTCTGTAATGTACCACAAACCATCAACACATTATGATTTTTTCTATATGAATTATTTTACCTTTTTTCCATATTATTATGAAAGCTGATTCTCAGCATATTTTAGAACACCTTCGTTGCAAAATTTTACATGATATCCAGTATATCTGATAATATTTCTCCTCAGAGTACTATAATATTATTGTACAAGATGTGGAATTCAACAAGTCATATGATTAATCAATATGCAATGAATTTTCACTGATTTAAAAGTATTTATATCCTTTGACTATAAACTGACTGTGAGCTATGAAATAAAAAATTAAATATAACTTCGTAGGCAATTTGATTGAATTCCTAATCCATTTTAGCAAGTCATCTTATAACATCTGAAAATTTTACATTTCTCTTTAACTGAGTGCTAAGTAATGGCGCTGGACAAATATGTAAAATGAGTAGCTCTTAACCAAATTTCTTCAAAATGCCATTTGTAAATACTAGAATAGTTTTCACTTATGATTTTAACCTCCTTAGTTACCAGTATTGAAATTTATACCAATAAATACGTTTGCAGCGAAGAAAATATTGTGGAGTTAGAACCAAAAAATGATTTAAAAACATCAAAAGCAACCTGTTTAGAAAAACAGCTAAGCACACTCACAATAACAAGAAAAGTAATTTTTCATTAATATTTTTAAAGCCGTATTTTACTGTAGTATATGAAAATTTGATAGATGATTTGTTAATTATTAGGTATTTCAAAAGGAAACCAAAATATCTCTAGTTACTATTGTTAACAAAAGTTGTGTGAACATTCTCTTTGCATTTATTCATTTCTTAATTCAACAAAGATTATTCATTATCTTCTTTATACCAGGGATTATTGTAAATACAGCAGTGAGCAAAATATTCCAATCCTTGTTTCAGTGGGATATAATTCCATATCTACATTCCATGACTACATATAATATTTAGGAAGGAAGGAACTTAAAGTCATAGCATTCCTTGACATTTCAGTTTTCAGGGCTTCACACTTTTACCTCTCCCTCCCCTGTAAATGTTTACTCAAATATGCAACTGGAATAGAAAAATCTGTTACTGTCTCACCACCAGTCCTGGCTCCTGGGGATCTTACGTCTTTCTAGTTATCCTGGACTAGATGTAATCAATCACTTTTTTCCTGTCCCTGTTGAGCTGAAATATTGTTGAGGAGTTTGAAAAAATGCTCCTTAGAAAAGAAAGTGGAAAATACCAAGTAAAGTAAAACAAAAATGGCAAAAGCCTAAAATGTAATGCATAGGAAGATAACTTATGTTTGTATAAACCTCTGCTTTCAGAAATATGAAGACATGACTTTTTATATTTTTCCTACTTAGTACAGATTAAAAAAAAAACTGGATATTTTATATAAAAATATAGTCCCTGAAATAAGTCCCTGAAAGTAAGACAGAAACAGGCAGACTAGCTAGGAACCATGACACCCAAGTAACTACATAGTAGTGGGTTCCCCGGATTTTCTTTTTACCCTTTTTGTCCCACTAAAGCACTGGAGAAGTGAGTAACCCAGAAATAGCAATGGGCGTATAGAAACAAACCTCACGAAAAGCCTGCTTTCTCTAACCAAAAGCCTCCACCTAGTAAGACAGAAAACTATTAGATAATACCCATTCTACTTCCACCAAGTACCATAGGAAGAAATGGCAGTGAAGGCTTGTTAGAGAGAGAACTTAGATTTTCACTTTTATCAGCTTATAAATGAGGAACTCTTCTATCTCCTCACTGGGGTGGTGTTAATGAAGGTGAGGCAGGGAACTAGGACTTTAATTCATGCTGGGCAATAAGCCCCCTTCCTACGAGTGTCGGGATAGGCCATCTAGGAAACTAGACTTCTGCCCTAAGCTGGCGTTGATGAGGTATTCCTCCCTTACTGTGTTGGGAAGGTATCAAGGGATACCTAATGGGAATCAAGACTGTCATTTCTGCTTGGTAGTAATGAGGCCACTCCTCTGTGGTTTCAGTGGATGGTTTGTGGGGAACAATAATGTGGTACCCTTACTCCTCACAGCCGGACTGGTATTGATGGAGGCCTGGTGGGAAGCTGAACTCCCAACCATGTCCAGAAATAACAAGGAGATCCTTGTTCCCTGTATGCTGAGTGCTAGTAGAGGCTGAGTTGGGTACTTAGACTTCCACCCTACCTGGAGGTTTTCATTTTTCTCGGCTGGAGTGGTGTCCTGTCAGAAGAAATCTCCTGAAACATGATTTCAAACGTCTAGATTTCAATTAAAAAATACTTATATAATACTCATATCAGGAACCAAGAATATTTTGTCTTGAATGAAAACCAAAAAGGACAACAGATGCTGAACTGAGCAGATTCCAGTTTTAGAATTATTTGTCAAGAATTTTAAGTATCTGACAAGGATTTTAAATCATTAATTACAAAAATGTTTTAACAAGTGATTATGAACATTCTTGAAACCAATGTGAAAACAGAAAATACCCGCAAGTGTCAGCAAAGTAATAGACTGTATGAAGAAGAACCAACTGGCAATTTTAGAAGTAGAAATACAATAACCAAAATTAAAAACTCAGAGATGGGCTCAATAATGGAATGGAGAAATAAGGAAAGAATCAGTAAATTTGAAAAAAATAGAAATTACCCAATTCGAACAGTATAGAGAAAACAAACTGAAAACAAATGAATAGGGGTTTAGGAATTTGTGGGATTATGATGAAAGACCTAAAATTTATGTTATCCAATCCTGGAAGGAGTGAAGAAAGAAGGCAAAACTTAAAAACATTCAAAGTAAGATTAGCTCACAATTTCCCAAATTTGGCAAAAGATAATACTGCATATTTCAGAAGCCAAATGAACTGCAAATATGATAAAGACAAAAACAAACAAAATGCATGTCAGCACCCACTATAATGGTTAATTTATGCATCAGCTTGACTGGGCAATGGTTTCTAGATATTTGAGCAAATTTTATTTGAATGTTTTTGTGAGGATTTTTTTTTTTAATTCAGATAAGATTAACATTTACATCTGTGAACTTTGAATATGGCAAATTTCCCTCCATAATGTAGGTGGGCAACATCCAATCATTTGAAGGCCTTAACAGAACAAAAACTGACCTTCCCTGAACAGGAAAGGATTCTGCCAATAGACTGCCTTTGGGTGCAAGCTGCAACATTAGTTCCTTTCTGGGTCTCCAGCCTGTCAGCCTTGTTTGCAGATTTTGAACTTGATAGCCTGCATAATCACATGAGCCAATCCCTTAGAGGAAGTTTTTCTGTGTATTTGTACATATATGGATTTATTTCTCTGGAGACCTTAATACACACGTAGCTAAACTTCCCTCAACCAAAAATTGAAAATCTTTAAAGCAGCCAGAGAAAAATGACATTTTACCTACAGAATAACAGAAATATGATAGACGTTTCATCAGAAACTATGGAGGTCAGAGGAAATGGAACAAGTGCTGAAAAAAGAACTTTTAACCACAAATTTCATATCCAACCCATATTTTTCCTTTAATTCTTTTGTTATTGAATAACTTATTTTTGGTGACTTTAATTCTTTTAAAATTACTGAGGCTTATTTTATGGCCTAGCCTCTGATCTATCCTGTGCACTTGAGTAAATGTATATCCTGCTATTGTTAGATGGACCATACTCCAGATATCTATGGGGTAGATGGTTTATAGTGTTGCTTAGGCTTTCTCTATGCAGTTGATAATCTGCCTAATTTTTCTAGCCTTTATTTAATGTGGGGTGGTGAAATCTCTAAATATTATTGTTGAATTGTTTACGTCGCTTTTAATTCTGTCAGTTTTTACTTCATGCATTTTTTGGATATTTTGTTAGTTACATATCTGTTTTTAGTTGTTACATGTTAATGTTAGTTTGTTTTCATACTGTTATAAAGAACTACTAGAGACTAATTTATAAAGAAAAGAGGTTTAATTGCCTCACAGTTCTGCCTGGCTTACAATCATTGCAGAAGGTGAAGGAGAAGCAAGCACCTTCTTCACAAGGCAGCAGTGGGGAGAGAGAGAAAGAGAGAGAGAGAGAGAGAGAGAGATCAGAAGTGCACACTTTTAAACCGTCAGATCTTATGAGGACTCACTGACTACCATAAGAACAGCATGCTGGAAATCTGCCCCCGTGATCCAGTCACCTCCCACCAAGGCCCTCCCCTGACACATGGGAATTACAAATCAAGATGAGATTTCGGTGGGGACACAAAGCCAAATCATGTCATTCTGTCCCTGGCCCTTCCCAAATCTCATGTCCTTCTCACATTTCAAAATACAATTATGCCTTCCAATGTCCCCTAAAATCTTACCTCATTGCAGTATTAACCCAAAGTCCAAGTCCAAAGTCTCATCTGAGACAAGGCATATCACTTTTGCCTATGAGCCTGTAAAATCAAAAACAAGTTAGTTACTTCCAAGATACAGTGGTAGTACAGGCATTGGTAAATGCTCCCATTCAAAATGGAAGAAATTGGCCAAAAAAAAGTAGCTACAGGCCCCATGTGAGTCTGAAACCCAGCAGGACAGTCATTAAATCTTAAATCTCCAAAATCATCTCCTTTGACTCCATGTCTCACATCCAGGACATTCTGATACAAGAGGTAAGCTGCCAAGGCTTTGAGCAGCTCTCCCCCTGAGGCTCTGCGGGGTGCAGCCCTGTGGCTGCTTCCACAGGCTGGCATTGAGTGCCTACAGGTTTTTCAGGCATACAGTGCAAACTCTCAGAGGATATACCATTCTGGGGTCTCAAAGATGGTGGTCCACTTCTCACAGCTCCACTAGGTAGTGCCCCAGTGGAGACTCTGTGTAGGGGATCCAACCCCACATTTTCCTTCTGCACTCCCCTAGTAGAGGTTCTCTGTGAGGGCTCCTCCTCTGTAGCAAACTTCTGCCTCGACATCCAGGCATTTACCTACATCCTCTGAAATCTAGGCAAAGGCTCCCAAATCTCAACCCTTGCCTTCTGTGCACCTGCAGTGCCAACACCACATTGAAGCTACCAAGGCTTGGGGCTTACACCCTCTGAGGCAATGGACCGAGCTGTACCTTGGCCCTTTTTAGCCACAGCTAGAGCTGGAGTAGCTGGGACAGTGTGCCATGTCCAGAGACTGCATAGAGCAGTGCGGCCCTGAGACCATCCCACACAACCATTTTTCCCTCCTAGGCCTCTACGGGCTATGGGAGGGGCTGCCATGAAGATCTTTAAAATGCCCTGAAGACATCTTCCCACTGTTTTGGCTATAAACATTCAACTCCTTGTTACATATGCAAATTACTGCAGCCAACTTGAATTTCTCCCCAGAAAATGGGTTTTTATTTTCTATTGCATGTTCAGTCAGTCTGCAAATTTTCCAAACTTTTATATTCTGCTTCCCTTTTAAAAATGAGTTCCAATGTGAGATCATCTCTTTGTGAATGTATGACTGTGCACTTTCAGAAAAAGTTCACTTCTAGAATGCTTTGCTGCTTAGACATTTCTTCTGCCAGATATCCTAAATCATGTCTCTCAAGTTCAGCATTTTACAATTCTCTAGGGCAGGGGCAAAATGCTGTTGAGTCTCTTTGTTAAAGGATAGCAAGAGTGACATTTGCTCCAGATCCCAATAGGTTTCTCATCCTCCTCTGAGACCACCTCAGCGTGGGCTTCATTGTCCATATCAGTGTCAGCATTTTGGTCAAAACCATTCAACAAGTCTCCAGGAAGTTACAAACTTTCCCACATCTTCCTGTCTTCTTCTGAGCTCTCCAACATGTTTCAACCTTCATCTTTTACCCAGTTCCCAATTTGCTTCCACATTTTTAGGTGTCTTTATAGCAGCTCCCCACTCCCAGTACCAATTTTTTGTATTAGTCAGTTTTCACACTGTTGTAAAGAACTACTTGAGACTGGGTAATTTATAAAGACAAGAGATTTAATTGACTCACAGTTCCACATTGCTGGGGAGACCTCAGAAAACTTATAATCGTGGCAGAAGGCAAAGGAGAAGCAAGCACCTTCTTCGCAAGACAGCAGGAGAGAGAGAGAGAGCGAAGTGGGAAGAGCCACACTTTTAAGCTGTCAGATCTCATGAGAACTCACTCACTATCATGAGAACAGCATGGAGGAAATCGCCTCCATGATCTAATCACTTCCTGCCAGGCCCTTCCCCTGACATGTGGGAATTATAATTCAAGATGAAATTTGGGTGGGGACACAGATCCAAACCATATCAATCTTCCTGATGGATTCACTCTCTTATCATATTTTTTTATCTCTAGTAAGATTTTTTTTTTGGTATAAAGTCTATTTTTTTCTGATATTTAATGTAGCCACTCCCATTCTATTTTGGTGGTGGTTTGTATAGCAGGGGTCCTTAACCCCCAGGCTGTGGACCGGTACCATTTCGTGGCCTGTTAGGAACTGGGCTGCACAGCAGGAAGTGTTGGTGGGCAAGCAAGCATTACTGCCTGAGTTCCACCACCTCAGATCAGTGGCATTATATTCTCATAGCCATGCAAAACCTTATGGTGAACTGCACATGTGAGAAATCTAGGTTACATGCTCCTTATGAGAATCTAATGCCTGATGATCTGAGGTTTAACAATTTCATCCTGAAACCATCCGCTTTACCCTAGTCTGCGGAAAAATTGTCTTCCATGATACCGTTTCCTGGTGCCAAAAAGGTTAGGGACTGCTGTATATATTTTCCCATCCTTTTACTTTGAACCAATTTGTGTCTTTGAATATAAAGTTTGTCTCTTGTACAAATAGAATTATATGCATATTATTTTAAACAATTGCTTTTTAAATCAGTTAAGAAAAGAGAAGCAGCATCCAATTATGCTGTCATTTAAAATTACCCTTATAATTACTGCTCCCTCCATACCAGTGGGTTCTGCATCCATGAATTGAACATTGTATTCATTAGGTGAGAAATCCATGGATATGGAGGGCCACATTTTTGTATCTGCAGGTTTCACAGGGCCGGAGGCTTGAACAATCTCAGATTTTCGTATCCTAAATGGTCCTGGAATCAGTCCCTTTGGATATCAAGTGGCATCACTACCTTTACTGGCATGCTTTGTTTTTCACATAGATCAAATTACTATCTGGAGCTGCTTGCATTAGTGTGAAGAACTTCCTTTAGTATTTATTTTCTTCTTCAAATTTTATGGTTTTGGGTCTTAGATTTAAGTCTTTAATTCATCTTGAGTTGATTTTTGTGTATGGTGAGAAATGGAAATCCAGTTTTATTCTTCTATATGTGGATATCCAGTTTTTCCAGCACCATTTGTTGAATAGGGTGTCCTTTCCTCAATTTATGTTTTTGTATGCTTTATCGAAGATCACTTGGCTGTAAGCATTTGGCTTTATTTCTGGGTTCTCTATTCTGTTACATTGGTCTAAGTATCTAATTTTATACCAGTACCATACTGTTTTGGTTACTACAGCTTTGTAGTATAATTTGAAATTCGGTAAATATGCTTCCAGATTTGTTCTTTTTGCTTAGGATTGCTTATTTGGGCTTTTTTGTTTTATATGAATTTTAGGATTATTTTTTCTATTTTGTGAACAATTATGTTGGTATTTTGATATTAATTCCATAGTATCTGTAGATTGCTTTGGGCAGTGTGGTCATTTTAATGGTACTGATTCTTCCAGTCCATGATTATGAGATGTATTCTCATTTGTTTGTGTCATTAATGCTTTTTTTTAAAATTTTTTAGCAGTGTTTTGTAGTTCTCCTTATAGAGATCTTTCACCTACTTGGTTATGTATATTCCTGGGTATTTAAATTTTTTTTTTGTAGCTATTGTAAATGGATTGTGTTTTTTATTTCATTCTCACCTTTGTTGTTATTGGTGCTACTGATGTGTGTACATTGATTTTGTAACCTGAGACTTTACTGAATTCATTTATCAAATCTAAGAGTTTTTTGGAGGAGTCTTTGGGGTTTTCCAGGTATGCAGTCATGTCATTGGCAAACAGAGATAGTTCAAATTCCTGTTTTCCAATTTAGATGCACTTTATTTCTTTCTCTTGTCTGATTGCTCTTGGTAGGACTTCCAGTACTGTGTTGAACAGAGGTAGTGAAGATGGGCATCCTTGTCTTGTTTCAGGTCTTAGAGGAAATAATTTCAAATTTTTCCCATTCAGTATGATGTTGGCTGTGGTTTGGCATGTTTGGCTTTTATTACTTTGAGGAATGCCTCTTCTGTGCCTAGTTTGTTGGGGTCCTTTAGTATTTATTATAAGTTGTATCTCCTAACAATTAATTTGTGTATTTTTTCACTTGCATTCTTTAAAGTTAGTTATTTAAAAAATAAGATTGTAGGCAGTTTTTGTTCGTTGATTTTAGTACTTTGAATATGTCATCTCATTGCCTTCTATCCTACATATGAGAAGTAAGCTGTTAATCTTTTTCAGATTCTCTTATACACTATGAGTTATTTTTATCCTGTTTTCAAATTGTCTGTTTTTCACTTTTAGTATTTTGACTGTGATGTTTCTAGGTGTGTGTCTTTTCATTTATTCTATTTGGAAGTCATTTAGCCTCTTATATGTGTAGATTGTTTTTCATCAATTTTGGGAAGTTTTCAGCCATTCATATTTTTTCTCCTACTTCTCTTTTCTCATGTGTTACTTTCATTATGTATGTGTTAGTTTTCTTAATGGGGTCTCACATGATTTTTAGGTGTAGTCATTTTTGTTTGTTATTTATCCTTTCTCTGTTCTTCAGATTGTATGATCTTTATCAGTAGTTCTTAAGGTTTACTGATTCTTTCTCCTCGTAACTGACATCTATTAATACAAGTTTCTATACATTTTTTTTTTGAATAAATGCTTCTCAATTTGTTGTAAGACCTTTGATCAATTTTCCAGAGACTGAATGATTGCTTTGCCAGTTTACCTTGTCACATGATTTGGCTGTGTCCCCTTCCAAATCTCATCTTGAATTGTAGTTCCTATAATCCCTACATGTCGTGACAGGGACTCAGTGGGATGTGATTGGATCATGGTGCAGTTTCCCCCATGTTGTCCTGGTGATAGTGAGTGAGTTCTCACAAGATCTAATGCTTTTACAAATGTCTGGCATGTCCCCTGTTTGGACTTCTCCGTCCCGCCACCCTATGAAGAAGGTGCATTGCTTGCCCTTCACCTTCTGCCATGATTGTAAGTTTCCTGAGGCCTAACCAGCTATGCAGAACTGTGAATCAATTAAACCTCTTTTCTTGATAAATTACCCAGTCTTGTGTATTTCCTTCTAGCAATGTGAGAACGAACTAATACACCCTACTTAACAGATGACATTCTGGAGTAGAGGTTCCCCCTGCTAGCTCCTCATATTGCCATTCCAGAAGTTCCACCCCCCTTTCCTTGTTTTTTAATCCAAATTAAAATAGTGGTTACTCTGTTATCAATATTCTTTATTTCAAAAATGATTATCCTGAGGTCAGTATTATGAAAGACTCATGACATTCTCTTTATTCTCAGTGCATTGACAAAAGTTGAGGGTTTGTTTACGTCATCTGGTCGTATTGGATCACCTCAACCCATGGATCTTTGCTGATTTCTTTTTCCAATTCTTTTTTTAAAATGTAGGACTGTTCTTTTGCATGAATAATTTGAGATTACACATTTCATGAGTTTCAGAATATATATTTTGGGTTTATCATTTAAAAAATTGCTGTTGCTTCAAATATTAATTTAAACCTTAATAAAGTGCCATATTTATTTTCCTCATGGATAATCGGATAAAACAATATCCTAAAGCACATTTTTATTAGCAATATCTTATGTACCTAACACCATTTAAATGAACTAGCACTTTTTAAAGCTCCCAAATCATGTGATCAGCTGTTTCTGATTTAAAAATAACAGTAAGTTATGATAGGACTTAAACTTTTCACAAATAATTGAACATTCTGATTCACCTAGAAATAGTCCTGTATTTAAGAGATTAGCTGACCTCATCCAACTGGAATTTACTTATTTTGAGTATGTAACTCTGTGTTCATACAACTTTAAATCATCTATTCCAGGAGCTGGCTAAAGAAAATCTGTAACCCAATCCATGTTTAAACCAATTTAAGACCTAAAGTTATTATGTTCTATTAGGCCTAATATTCTTATTCTGTCTTTAGTGATTTTATATAATAATTTATAGACCTTTATTCTTTGATTTCCTGAAGGAATGTTACATGCCTGCCAGAATTTATACTTTGAGACTGCTAAGTACTTCTGTTAGTAGAGCTGATTACGAGCATAGATTTTTGAATTCAGACAGACCTGGATCAGAGCCCCACTTCTGCTATTTACTAATATTTTGACCTTGGGCAGTTTTTTTTTTTAAACTATTTTAGTTTCTTCTTCAGTAAGTGATGGAATAAACCATGGAACCTATTCATAAGAGTGTTGTGGGGATGCAGTGAGAAAAATGAATATTGCATGGCTAATAATTAAGCTCTTAAGAAATATTAGGTATTATCATTATCATTTCTATATGTAACATGTCAGATTTTTTTAGTGTAGCAATTGCAATACTTTTTCATTATCTCATAGCTGATCATTAGTTGGTTGTCTTCGTATAGATTCTTATTTCAGTCTTCTTAGAAATATCCACTTCGGAATAAAAGATTGTGGCCCATCTCTTCACCTTCTTGGGCTCAGTTAAAGGCAGCATTCTTTCGTTAACTTTGAAAATAAATAGATTGCTACAGATTGATGAAAAGGACGTGAAATTTTGTTGAAGTACAAAAGAAAACAAACAAAACTAACCTAATGTGCCTCATATGCCAAATTTTCCCATGTTTACTTAATTTTTTTCTCTTATGTCATGATTTCAAAAATCTTTTATTCTGATAATTAATGACAGTAAAATTAATGTACATCTTGGAAGACTACATAGGCACATGCCACATCGAAGATTGTTTACTGCAAGCAACATAAGAATTTTCCTTTACTTGTTTAATTGGGCTTTTGTCTTGAACTTGTCATTCTCTAATATATGCACTCGCTCAGACTTCATGAGTTCTTAATGTCTCATCTTAATGTTCTCCATCAAAGATTACCATCTTATCTATTATGTAGAGTATCATATTTTTGAGATAATGAGGAACTGTATTAGCATGATCCTTTTTTGTTTTAAGGTCCACTCAACAGTTGTGATTGATCAGGTTACTTTAATCCTTTGATTCTCAACTTCTACAGTGCATAGTAAATTATTTGTGTTGCTTTTTAAAAATGCATATGCCAAGGAGTTTTCTTTCCTGGAAATTCTGAATCTGTAGATGTAGGTAGGGGCTAGACATTTGTCGAGTTTTTCTTTTTTAAAAAAAATTCTATTAAGTTATTCTGCTACCCCATGGGAATTATTAACCATTGTCCTATCTTTTTATATTTGTTGGTCAATGTATTCTATTTTCTTTCAGCCATTATTTTTCTAATTTTTGTTATTAATTAATATTGAGTCTCTTAAGGTTTTGTGGGTGGGTGTGCATACGTGTATGTGCTTATATTGTATCCCATTGAAATTACTGAGAATTTTTTTCCATATAAGAAAGATGAAACAAACCCTAACAGAAACCAAATGAGTGTATGATGGACTGCTGTTTTTAATACTTAAGAAAAAAGTGAGTTTTAGCTGTAACTAAGAAACAAAAACTTGTCCTACGTCAAGATTAAAAAAAACAAAAACTTATTCCTTGTTTTCCTTGATGTGGGATAAGTGATCACAGTAAGAAAAGAATTCTTTATAGTGCAGGATTGGTATAATAGCACAGAGGGACTATCAAAGAAAGTCATACATGGAAAAAATACAGGCATATTTGCTAAAATAGATGTAACATTATAGCTTAAGGAATATGATGCCTTGTATTTTTAAAGAGAAAGTATCTTTTTGCATAGAGGTGTTTACTTCTCATTTTTCTTTTCAGAACTTTCTCCGTATACATCTATTCAGTTAATAAGGTAGATATTAGTGCTTGAGGTAAAGTCAATTCAAATGTTAACTCATTCTCAAAATGACTGTTCTTTGCATCCTAAATAACATTTGGGAAGAATTTTCCAAAGGAAGTATTTAGTTGACTCAATCAGTGTGTTAAAATTCAAAGTTGGAATTCCTGCTAACATGGTACAATAGTGAGTGGAAAGCACTCAAGAAATTAAGTTCAACATGTTGTTTTTATTTTGTCTCATTTTGAGCTCAGTTCATTAAAAATTCCAACTTGATGCAAATAAGGTATGAACATTTAGGTTAAAACTTTTGTTTTGCTACTGTGTAAGGAATCTCTTTTAAGGCAATGACAGCTGCCTCCTCTCTTCCCCCTATTTTTTTTTTTTTTAATATCGTGTTTACTTAAAGATAGATCAGTTAGAAAAGGGGCTTTCCCTTTTGAAACTCTCATCTAGAGAGGTTTTTAAAATTTCATTCTGTAGTGATTTTCACAAGTTGTTTTCGTGGTTCTGGCTTGCCTTGTTTGTTTTTTTGATGTTATACTCCCTGTTGTTTTCGTTTTTTAACTTAAGGGATTTAGACGTTTCACAAATTATACCACATAGGAAAAGTGTTGAAACATTATCGAATTTTGATGTAGTTGACAGATTAAAAAGAATGCTAAGTAGAAAAATAGCCTGAAAAAGGCAAAAAAGAAAATGTAGTTTGTTTTAATATTTTATGCACACACCAGATAAATTATAACTGTACTGATTTAAAGGCGTATTTATGTTTCTTGGCCCATCTGTGGGTGCCTAAACTAAACATTCTCTGTATTGTTTTTTGGACATGTGAAAATTAGTTACTTATTATTACATTCATTTTGAAACCAGAAGGGTTTATTTTTTAATTTTTTTATATCATCTTCTCAAACTCTAGGGTTTTCCCCTCTGGTATTTTGTTTGCATGCATTTGGCCAAGCAGAATACATTTTA
The DNA here is from genome assembly GCF_000001405.40 of Homo sapiens. Taxonomy (NCBI): domain Eukaryota; kingdom Metazoa; phylum Chordata; class Mammalia; order Primates; family Hominidae; genus Homo; species Homo sapiens. The sequence goes on from NC_000012.12 coordinate 28,377,720, forward strand.
AAAACTTATCATTATAAGTACCTATACATTTCAAGATATTGCCACTACAGCTAGACATACAGACACACAAACTCATTTTGCATTTGCAGTCTTTGTTTCTGATGCTTGACTAAGTTGGTGATCTTTAATTCTGTGTATTATATTCCAGATGGCAAAAACCAGTCAATGCTGGTCACTTGAATAGTACTTATAAATACTTTACCATCTTAATGAGAAAGTAAGGAATGAGGAGATTGTTTTCTAAAGCTTTACTTAGATCATTTTATGAAGATAATTTTCTGATATTTTTCTCTTCCTCTTATATTTAAATATTAGGGTATTGAATTAGGTACAATGAAGTTTTAACTTATTAGGCACATGAAATTTCTGCTACTTACAGTGAAAAAAGATGCAAAATTGCTACATACACTTTAGTAGCTCTAAAATCATTGTGATGAAAATTCTCAGTATACTAATTTCCTATGTTAACCAAAGTTTGTTTTGTTGAGAGTTTTGGTCTTTTGTGCATTTTCTGAAAAGGTCAGATATATGCTAAATACTTTTTGTTAAGGATTGCTTTGAATTTTAGCAATGTAAAATATGTCACATGCCAGCTTGAGTATCACATGACTGCTGTATTCTTATTTTTCAAAAGCATCCACTTGCTAGTATTTTATTTGAACTCTTAAATTGTTTGTACCGTTTTATGAAGGAGAACATATTACATTTAGGAGACCAATATTTTCCCAGGGTGTAGAGTTACTTGTATTGTATAAAGTTCTTTTCCAAGGAGAGAGAAACAATTTTGTTTTCTCTTCCTTTGATATTTTCCCTTGATTGGATATTGCTAAGTTTTTGCTCAAAGAGAGGAAAAGTAAAAATTAAGATATGTAAGACCTGACAGCATATCTTTATTTGAATTCCACCATTTTGTTAATCCAAAGGTATAAAATAAATTTATAGTTTCAGTTATTTGATTGAATAAGGATTCTCATAAATTCCAGCTTTTATCATATGATCAGATTTTTCCTGGACAAATAAAGATGTTTGCTGTTGCCAATAGAGTTTGGCCCACTAGCATGCTAGCTAGATACTAGTGATTGGTTTGGAGCTAAGGACTTGGCTTGTCCTTTCTTATCCCTCCCACCAACTTAACCTCAGTGGAGGATTGAGAAAGATTTGGTAGTTGAGAATACTTCTGTGTGCCTCTGTGTTTCCTGGGCTTAGCCAGAACTTTGCATGCACAGCTATTCTTGTGGTTTTTCAAGCCAGGCCAAAACCAAAAGGTATTGGAAACCTTGCCAGAAGCCTCATTCTAATATAGATTTAAAGCTTGCCTTTATACTGTGACTGGTCCATTAGCTGATAGTCAAAGGAATGAAGAGGAAACCTTCATTCTATTTTAGGAATAAAAATTTCAAGTTTCTGTTGTGTAGCAGACTTTTAAAAATAATTCCAAAGATAAAAGACCTTAAGATGTGTAGAGTTTACATAAAAACCCTAGAAGAAAACCTGGGAAATACCATTCAGGACATAGGCATGGGCAAGGACTTCATAACTAAAACACCAAAAGCAATGGCAACAAAACCAAAATTGACAAATGGGATCTAATTAAACTAAAGAGCTTTTGCACAGCAAAAGAAACTACCATCAGAGTGAAGAGGCAACCTACAGAATGGGAGAAAATTTTTGCAGTCTACCCATCTGACAAAGGGCTAATATCCAGAATCTACAAAGAACTCAAACAAATTTACAAAAAAAAAAAAAAAAACCATAACCCCATCAAAAAGTGGGCAAAGGATATGAACAGACACTTCTCAAAAGAAGACATCTATGCAGCCAACAGACACATGAAAAAATGCTCATCATCACTGGCCATCAGAGAAATGCAAATCAAAACCACAGTGAGATACCATCTCACACCAGTTAGAATGGCAGTCATTAAAAAGGAAACAACAGATGCTGGAGAGGATGTGGAGAAATAGGAACACTTTTACACTGTTGGTGGGAGTGTATATTAGTTCAACCATTGTGGAAGACAGTGTGGTGATTCCTCAAGGATCTAGAACTAGAAATACCATTTGACCTAGCAATCCCATTACTGGGCATATACCCAAAGGGTTATAAATCATTCTACTATAAGAACACATGCACACGTATGTTTATTGCAGCACTATTCACAATAGCAAAGACTTGGAACTAACCCAAATGTCAGTGATTTAGTTAGTAACTTAACCCAGTGATAGACTGGATTAAGAAAATGTGGCACATATACACAATGGAATACTATGCAGCCATAAAAAAGGATGAGTTCATGCCTTTGCAGGGACGTGGATGAAGCTGGAAACCATCATTCTCAGCAAACTATCACAAGGACAGAAAACCAAACACCGCATGTTTTCACTCATAGGTGGGAATTGAACAATGAGATCACTTGGACACAGGAAGGGGAACATCACACACCAGGGCCTGTTGGGGGTTGGGGGGCTGGGGTAGGGATAGCATTAGGAGAAATACCTAATGTAACTGACGAGTTGATGGGTGCAACAAACCAACATGGCACGTGTATACCTATGTATCAAACCTGTACCTTGTGCACATGTACCCTAGAACTTAAAGTATAATAATAATAAAAAAGATGTGTAGAGTTTAGTTAGTTGTTTCAGACATGTAAGAACTCTTTTCCCTCTCAATAATTTTTCACTTACTAAAATGAACTTTTCTGTTTTATACTACATCAGGTTAATATTTGTGACTAATGTTGCTCAGACCTGAATGTTGTAGCAATGTGAGTCTCATTCTATCAGAATATTCTTGATTAATTACAGATTTCTGCTCATTATAACAAATTCAGGCCACTGTATCATTAGTTTCTTCCAAGGGCCATAATAAGATTATTTATTCATTTTGACCTGATTGAGATTTGACCTGTTCTGATGCAGTTGAAAGTTTTTTTCGAATCTGTTTCTAAGCTTGTTCAACAGGTTTCTATCTTCAGTAATAATGCTGGAGGACTGATTATACAGTAGCATTTGTAAAGGGCATATTTCTTTAACAATATCAATCAATATAATGTCAATTATTTAGTTTTTAGTCTTTCATTATTCTAATGAACTGAATTATCAGTAAGGTCTATCTAGATTCAAGCATTTTCAGTATTAGAGAAAAGCACTACCTAATTATACTGCAGGAAAAGTACTTGTATGTGTGTGCTACAGATTTATTTTTATTTATTAGCCACCAATATTTCTGTTTGTGAAAGGCCACACAATATAGTTGTTACAGGCAAGGGAGATAAACTGATGAAATTTAGACATGCTTACACTCATTAAGGATATATACACAAAAAACTATTTGTAAAGATGATGGTCTGTAAAAGTTTACTTTTGATTTTTAAATTTCTTTCCGGTTTGAATAGATATTGAGAATGGTTAAATTTATTATTTATTCTGAACTATAAAACAGACTGAAAAGAAAAGCAGAGATGTAATAATTAATGTGAGAGAGAATAGCATTTTAATATGTCTGTTTTGTTTCTGATTGCAACCCAATATTAAAATGGATGTTTTGTTTTTAATCCCTACCTTCTAGGTAATCAACTTTGGGAAACCTGATTTATGAGAATATTGATTTTATACCAAGGATAAATTAATAGGGGATATAATAATTTGCCTTATCAAAATATCATTTTTTTTTGTCATGGTAACATATGCACTTAATGCAAAATTGAAAAGATATAGAATTATGTATTATAAAAATTAATTTTGCTCCCATTGGTATTTGGGCATCAGTCTTCTCTTTTTCCTTTATCTTTTCCAGAGATGGGATAATATGCATAAAGTTGTCACATTTCTGATTTTCGGTAATTTGACTGTCAAATTGCTTTATAGCAATCGGAGGCAAATTCCATTTGAGAACTAATCCATAGTCTGCTTTAGTTCATTTTACTCAGTTCATCAAGTTCAAAGGTTACTGTATTTTGTTGTTTTAGTAGGATATTCATGTAGCCAATTTTTTTGATAATTTTGTAACAACCCAATCTGAGCTGTTGTTAAATCAGCAAGCACTACTTGGTGCCATTTTATTATAGTGAGGTATTTCCATATCATTTACTATAGTAATAATTACCCTGAGCCACTTGGATGGCTTTGTCCCTTCCTCTGAGGCTTCTTCTCAACTCACAGTCAAGGTGGAGCTTGGAACTGCAGGGGACCTCTGGCCCTGTATCTGTTCTGGGGATGGCATCTCTTCTAATTTTTTGATGCCCAAACTGATGGATTTTAAATATTTTTATTCACCCTTAATGTAATCACATCTGTCAGGTACCAATGGTAACTTTAAACTGAGAAATAACTAATAGAAGTATTTATACTTGTTATCTAAGTTCACAAACTCATTCACTTAGTCTCACAATCTAGTCTGCCTCAAAATTTAGTCTTAACATGTTTGCTGTAATAACATTGATTTAAGTCAAACCTGTAATCTCTTAATGTTGATGGCTTTTCAGTATGAGGAAAAGTTCTAATCTTTGAGATCTATATTTTATGAATGGAACTGAATTAATTGGGAGGAAAATACTAATTTTAAAATAATATTTATAATAAATTTTAAAATATTTATTTTAATCATCATAAACCTAGTAATTAAAACAATAATGTTGATCCTAGGTTGAATCCACAGAACATGAATTTCCTATGTCATAAAAAGTAGGTAATTTAACTCTCAAACAACAAACTGTTAGAATACAGGATTTCACCATTAATGTAAAAAAAAATTAAGTGTCATAATTTGTCAGAATGCCTTCATCATTGGGAGAGAAGAAACTCTTCTTCTCCTCATATATGAGATAAAATGAGGAATCTAATACATAGAGAAACATGGTGCCTTGATGGAACACATGTAACCAACAGAAGAGGAGTTGTAAATAAAAGCCACATCATTTAAGGCTTGATTCAGGGCTCTTTTCAAGAGTATACCGCCTCCTTGCAAAGTTAATTCATATGTATTTAAACAAATATTTTAGACATCTAGATGAGTTTATTTCTTCCCATGATCAGTGATTTTATATTTCAGAAAATGAGATGCATAGGCCTTTACTGTATTAATAACTAGGTGCTCTACTTAATTGTATGAATGATTATGAAGAGGTTATTTTGGTCAGAATTTTTTTTTCCCTTTCCTTTTTTTAAACTGAAACTGTAGCTCTTATTCAAGTCACAAGGAATAATGTGGCATCTGAGGGAGAGGGATATCCATATGGCAGCCTTTCAAAAGGTTAAAGTATCTGGAAGGCAGACATGCAGAGTCTCTGTGCTGTACTTAATTTTAGAAACTTCTTAATTTTAATGTGTTGTCCATGGCACAAAAGAAATTTTCACTGGGAGACTTTTGTGGTGTTTGAGGTAACAACTCTTATGTTACTAGATTCCCTTAACAACAAGGCCAACAGGAATGATTCCCTGTGTCCTGAAGATTTTCTTTGGCTTTCACAGCTTCCAAGGCACTTTATAGCGTGGCTAGACTTTATTGAATTTTCATGTTTAGATCTACACCCATAAGTTAACATTTTCCTTTTTGAATTGTGTAGTACTACTGCACTGTAATTCAAATACACAGAAAAATCTGAGATTCATTGCAATTCCAAATGCTTCAGATCTGTAACAGGATAAATTTTCAGCAGCCTCAACTTGACCTTGCTACTTCTCTTCCTTTTTTAAATTAAGGAAAAATTTGGAAGGGAGAACTTGTTTGTTTCTTAATTCAGCTTTTCCAAAATTTTAGGTAATAGTTTCCATCACTATCACTCTTCAGACAACTGTAATTTACTCTTGAGAAACATGTACCTTCATTCTTCCCAAAGGTTGAGTTCACAGAGTCTGGATGTTGCCTAACTTCTGCCTGGCTGGGCTGCGGGAGACCATGATCCTGGACTTGAATTTGGATCCAGATTTGAGTAAATGAAATTTTTAAATCTAAATTGAGTGTTTGTCCCAGAGAATTACAAAGAATTTTACATTGAACTTTTAGATCATCTCTTGATGATAGATTTTACTCATATTATTTCTTTTATATTCCAACAAAATTTTCTGAAACGTCTAAATACTGTTTTCAGAGATGCTTAATGTTTCTCCTCTAATACAACCATGTACCTCAGAGATTATTGGTTCACTGATCTGAAGCTCTTTTAAAATACATGGCTATGTGTGTATTTGTGTGTATGCATAATTAAATCAAGCTATCAGTTTATTCTTCTGAATTATAGGCAAACAAAGCTATAGATTGAAGTTTTAGACCTCCAAATTGGCTAAAGATATATTTAATTAAGCCAAGAGCCATTGGGGATTAAGACAAGTTGGTAACCAAGAACAGCATTCAGGGCCAAATCTAGTCATTTGCCATCATTTGGATACTATTTCTTCATTTTCATAGTCTTTTTTTAACCAGTCTCTTCATGATAAAATGGAGAATGTAAGTATTGCAGAAGAAATGTATATTAATAGACAAAGTATCCAGATGAGGTTCAAGTAATTATTACTTCATAGATGTACTTGCAGTAAATATATAATTATTACTGATAGTAAGTATATTTACAGTACTGCTTGCAAGAACATGTAAAAACATAAACTCATGTAGTTCTTATTAGGATTAACTCTTTCACTACCAGAGAGAATAATTGCATTATCTTTAATTCTAGAGCATATACAAAAAAGTTCATGCATGGTGCATGAATTATCAGTTTCTAACTTCCATGCATATGTGTAGCCCACCAAAATCAATGCTACATATTTTCATTCTTACACGTTGTCCATTAATGGAGAAAATTTTAATAGCATTTGAGTGTCTTTGGTATTTTTCCAGTACCTAGAACAGTGTTTAGGAAAATATTTATTGACTAAATGAATAATAAATGAATAATTGAGTGACTGATAAAAATGAAATAGCTGCTTAGTCCACGAAAAGAGAAATCTGCTTTACTGGGCTAGAAAAGCTAAGACAAATGGAAACAAATGGTTAAAACTGATTTTTTTTTTGTACCACTGTGTCTTTTCATGTGATTTTGGCCATATTTATTAACCACAGTGTCTGTCTTCATTTGTAAGGCAGGTATGTAAAGTTCATGGAGGAAAAATAGATGAATGATTCTGTAAAACGACTGCGATTCATCATTTTTACAAATGTACCTCATTCAAGTAGGCTCTCTTTTTGAATAATAAACTTACGATTTGTTTGCAGTTTTGAGGGGATATGATAAGACATGCTAACAATTTAATATCCTTACAAAACTTGAAGTAATATTTTGCTGAAAAAAGGGCTTGTACCAGAAAAAAAACATAAAAATATCTCTTCATAGCTTTAGCTTATTCATTTGGCAGATACCTTTCAGTTTTGCTCATGTTATTTTTAGTTAAAAATGAGAAAACAGAAGAAATAATAGAAATAAATTTTTTAAACGATAGAAAAAAGATGTTTAAATAATTTGTGATATTTTTCCAAGAAAGGTGAAATTGTGGTTGATTTCAGATGATACTTTATGATTATTTTGTATATACTATTATCCTCAAGCTAAACTAAGTGTATAATTACAGGTATAATCAACATAAAAGTTTTAATAATTTCTGTATGAAGGGACAAATAATCAGGCTTGCCTAAATCATGATTAATTTGTTTAGTTACTCAATGTATTTGTCATATATCTTCTATGTGTCAGGCACTGTTGTAGGTGCATTGGGTATTATCAGTGAGGTAAACACAGATTCCTAGTCTCTTAGGTCTTAAATTCTAGTTGAGAGATTATATTTGTTATACGTTTTGCTTCCTGCTTGCACTGTATCTTTATATTGTTCTCCATTTGTAAAGTATGACTTAATGGGTTGTTAGATAAAATTATTTTGTGACTTTCAATATAATTTAATTATTGTTGCTTACAGTTAGCTATGTAGGATTCTTTTATGGTCACATAATCAGTACAAAGATGATATTAATATTTTGAAGACCTTATTCCTTAGACACATCTGCTCTGCAAATCTGGACAATCATTTAATTTGATGAGGCTGGAATCAGATCTGAAACAATGGGGCTATTTCAAGGGAGGAGAAATCTGTGGATTTGTTGGGACAATGGACTGTAGTCTGGGTTGCAGTAGTCTACTTTGGCTATACTTATGTCATTCAAATTCCAGCATGCAATCAGTTCCACTAAAGAAATACACATCTAATTCTCACGTGTATTAACAGTTGGGGTGGTGTGGCATGATTTTTGACTTAATACCTTTGTTTTCTATGAGTTTATAATATACTTTTCCTTCCCAGAATTTATAGTCCTTCACACTATTTACTCACAGTTGAGCCCGTGGAGTAAAAAGAATGAATATTTCTTGTCTTAGATAATAACTTAAAAAATTGAGATCTCTGGTCGGTACCAAATGGACTTGGTAACAATTTTGGTGACTTGTCTTGGTAGTTATAATTTGTAGCTTAGTGAACTTTTCAATAAATATTGGTACTGTTGATAGTATATATTTATGTAATATCAGTTTTCACACAGGGATCATTACTTACCAAGTAGCTATTACATCAGCTGGTTATGTACAAGGCAGTCTAAAAAGCTGTTCATGAAGTTATAGTTCCCGTATTAAGAGACCTACAAATTTTTTAACACTTTAAAAATTATTCTTTTTTCTTTTTTCTGAGATGGAGTCTTGGTCTTGTCGCCCAGGCTGGAGTGCAGTGGCATGATCTCAGCTCACTGTAACCTCTGCCTCCCGGGTTCAAGCGATTCTCCTGCCTGAGCCTCCTGAGTAGCTGGGATTACAGGTGCACTCCACGATGCCCCACTAATTTTTGTATTTTTAGTAGAGATGGGGTTTCATCACGTTGGTCAGGCTGGTCTCGAACTGCCAACATCGTGATCCGCCCGCCTCGGCCTCCCAAAGTACTGGGATTACAGGCGTGAGCCACTCTGCCCAGCCTAAAAATTATTCTTAAAGTGTGATAGTTTTCCTCAAGTTTAGTGAATTAAATCCTCTTGGATAATACTACAAATCTCTGATAAAACTGTAGCTAAGACATAAATATGTTCAAAATCAACAAAACATTTTCTGCCCTTGATAGCATTCTTTTATATATAGAATATGTTGGTATGTATCTTGGCATTTCTATCTGTATATACTGTGAGAGTCTTAATGCTTTATGGGTGTTTAGAATAGTTGAAAATAGATTAGAAATGAAATTATTCTTTCATATATCTTTTTTTAATGTTGTAGAAGCTCAAGGAAGCCTCTTTGTCTTGGGTATCTGTAGAGACAGTTACAGAAGAAGACAATCAGCAAATGTTAAGATTATATTATGAGATGTGAGAAACGTAAAGGAATCTCTGTGTATTATGATATATTAAACTGGAAGATAAATATTCAGTTATACAATAATAGAGCAACTTATAAAGGCATGTGGCTAGTATCAATGTGTATTTGTATATCCACAGTGCTTAATCTAATAGTAGGGACAGTTTTGGAAATTACCTTATTTGCTTGGACTGTGGCACTAGTAATCACACAATGTTGAGCCATAGGACCAATGCTTAAACTCCTTGTTGTTATACAAGTTCTTTTAATACCCGACACCTGCCTTCTTGCCTAATCATTTAGCTCCACTCTTAACTCCAGCTTCTGTACTCCAGCTATTAGTTTTGTTTTTAATTTTTTAGTTCCATAGGATTTTGGGGAAACAAGTGGTATTTGGTTACAAGAGTAAGTTCTTTCGTGGTGATTTGTGAGATTTTGGTGCATCCATCATCTGAGCAGTATGCACTGAACCCAATTTGTAGACTTTTATCCCTCACCCCCTTCCTACCCTTTCCCCCAAGTCCCCAAAATCCACTGTGTCATTCTTATGCCTTTGCAGCCTCATAGCTTAGCTCCCACTTATAGATGAGAACATGTGATGTTTGGTTTTCCATTTCTGAGTTTCTTCACTTAGAACAATAGTCTTCAGTCCCATCCAGGTTTCTGTGAATGCCATTAATTCATTCCTTTTTATGGCTGAGTACTATTCCATCATATATTTATACCGCAGTTTCTTTATCCACTCGTTGATTGATGGGCATTTGGGCTGGTTCCACATTTTTGCAATTGTGAATTGTTCCGCTATAAACGTGTGTTCAAGTATCTTTTTCGTATAATGACTTCTTTTCCTCTGGGTACATACCCAGTAGTGGTATTGCTGGATCAGATGGTATTTCCACTTTTAGTTTTTTAAGGAATCTCCACGCTGTTTTCCATAGTGGTTGTACTAGTTTACATTCCCACCAGCAGTGTAAAACTGTTCTCTTTTCACCATATCCCTTCCAGCATCTATTATTTTTTGATTACGGCCATTCTTGCAGGAGTAAGATGGTATTGCATTGTGGTTTGATTTGCATTTCCCTGATCATTAGTGATGTTGAACATTTTTTTCATATGTTTGTTGCCATTTGTATACCTTCTTTTGAGAATTGTCTATTCATGTCCTTAGCCTACTTTTTGATGGGATTGTTTATTTTTTTCTTGCTGTTGTAAGTCCTAGCCAGAGCAATCAGACAATAGAAAGAAAAAGGGCATCCAAATTGGTAAAGAGAAAGTCAAACTGTTGCTGTTTGCTGATGATATGATTGTATACCTAGTAAACCCTAAAGACTCCTCCAAAAAGCTCCTAGAACTGATAAATTAATTCAGCAGAGTTTCAGGATTCAAAGTTAATGTACACAGATCAGTAGCTCTGTCATACGCCAACAGCAACCAAACTGAGAATCAAATCAAGAACTCAACCCCTTTTACAATAGCTGCAAAAACATAAAATACTTAGGAATATACCTAACCAAAGCGTCAAAAGACTTCTACAAGGAAAACTAGAAAACACTGCTGAAAGAAATCATAGATGACACAAATGGAAATACATCCCATGCTCGTGGAAGGGTAGAATCAATATTGTGAAAATGACCATACTGCCAACAGCAGCCTACAAATTCAACCCAATTTCCATCAAAATACCACCTTTGGAGAAAGCAAACAAAAACAAGTGGGGAAAGGACACCCTTTTCAACAAATGGTGCTGGGATAATTGGCAAGCCACATCTAGGAGATTGAAACTGAATCCTCATCTCTCACCTTATACAAAAATCAGCTGAAGATGGATCAAGGACTTAAATCTAAGACCTGAAACTATAAAAATTCTGAAAGATAACATTGAAGAAACCCTTCTAGGCATTGGCTTAGGCAAGGATTTCATGAGTAAGAACCCAAAAGCAAATGCAATAAAAACAAAGATAAATAGGTGGGACTTAAACTACGGAGCTTTTGCATGGCAAAAGGAACAGTCAGCAGAGTAAACAGACGACCCACAGAGTGGGAGAAAATCTTCACCATCTGATTCAAAGGACTAATATCCGGAATCGACAAGGAACAGCTATTCTTATCTACTGAATGTTCTTTGTGTATAGTGGTGAGTCTAACAGGTCACCAGGGTTGGGGCAACTTTCTTTCTCTGATACCCATCCTGCATATACCTACAGTGTGTGATGATCAAGGGAATGATTGTCTTCAACTTCAGACTGGGCGCAATGTGGAAGACTTTTAAAAAAAAATCCTTATATACCTACCTTTGTGGGCCTTTTGTTGATCCATGGATTTAAATGACTGAATGGGGCTAAAATGAGACATTTGAAATATATAAGAGGCCAGTTACTCTTGCATAACTTTCCTTTATGCTCCCTTATCACATCTTTGGCTCTTATTTTACTCATTATCCTCCTTGACATTTCAAGGAGAATGAGTATATAGTGTACAAATCAACCCCTAGAGGAAGACTACCTTATTCAAATTGTACTTCTTAATTATGGAGAGAGAATATTATTTTATTTTATTAACTTACCTGTCCTCCAAAGGATATAATATACTAAAAATTGCAGTTGAATATTGAGTATTTAAATATTGAATATTTAAATTGTGGGATTATTTGGAACCATGGCAAATAGGGAAGTGAACACAGTTCTTTCTGTTAAGCAAAATGATTCTATAATACCCTAAGTCCCTAAATAGAATGACATTTTTTTCTCTTTACAAAAGATGCTGTGATTATTCTAAGGGAATTTTTTATAACTATATTATTTTTTAACTTTTCTGAAATCCCAACAAATGGTATGTTTCCACACAGGTAAGTTAGATTTATATCATCTAGTCACATTTTAAAAGGATTAAGCTTTTGTGCCTTACATAAATTAATCATTGTGGAATCTTTGGAAGACACTGTAAATCAAGGGTTAAAGCAATTCTAGTAAGCATTTTCCTTATATTTTGATAAAACTCAGAGCTTTATTTTCCTTTACTAATGTGCTAGTAATTTGCAGCTTCATAGTGACGAATACTGAATTGTAGGAGTAGTAGCATCATCAGAGAATCTTACTTTTGCACAAGAAAGTTAGTTTGAAAATTTGAGACTTATTTAGAAGTTTTAAAAATATTTTTGTCTCAGCTTTTAAAAATACATGCCTATTTATCCAGCATCTTAATACATGGTGTTTTCAACCAAGTAAATCTGTATTCATAACAGAGATTAAGAGATTTGGCTGATTTTTTTTTTCTTGGTGAATATGCCAACGGTCTGTTTTCTATAAGACATGTCTGTTTCAACTTATTATTTTGGTTATGAGTAGTTTAAACAGACATCTAAAAATAGAATATTTGCTAGAGTTCTTATAGAATGATTTAGAGTTTATAAATAGCATGAAAGATATTACTGAGAACTTGTTGATATAACATACAAAGCTAAACAGAGAGAAAGAAAAAAGATGATAATATTCTAAGCATCTCTAATAAGGAAGTGAGTGGGTGAAACATCATCAAATGCTGATTTGGTTTTCCTTGAAACAGTGGTAATATCTTTATATTTATCTGACTTGAGTTCCAGCATTTACAGTATCCAATTAAGTATGCTCAGCCTCCCAAGTTTTATTACTTTTTATGCGTACTGCCTTGAGACTCTTGACTTACCTACTTTGACTTATACCTTTTCACATTAGGAGCGTGAACTTCCTGGGGGGCAGTTCTTTAATGTTTGAAGTTGCTCAGAGTTTCCATCTGCTTTTACTTGACTTGTGGTCTTGAAGATCATGCTTGGCCCATGGGATATTACAGTGTGCCGAGAGGATGTGGAGTTTTGTCAGCCAGTGAAATATGTCTGGCCTTTTTTTCCTTTTTTCTTTTTCTTTCTTTTTTTTTTTTTTTCAGCAGCTTTCATACACTCTTCATCCTGTGTGGTCTTCACTGAACCAAATTTATATTTAACAGAACTACTCACCCTCTCTATCATCTTCTGTGACTTGGCCTTTTTAAGGAGAAGATGTGTGGAAGGAACGTCTGAGCCAAAAAATTGTTATCTTGGCAATAGGAAAATGTAAAAGCAAAAGCTGAAAGTAATGTTATATATAAATGTGCTTCAGTATTAACAAATACATATTTTGTAATTTAGGAGAATATCGTATTACAGTATGTACAACTGTCAAAAATATTCTCGTGCCAACAGTAGATTCCCAAGTTTTGTCTGTGATCCAAATGACTTTTTTGCTTGTTTTCAGGCACTACTGCAGTCTTCAGTTAAGCAACAAGTAGAAGCTATTGAAAAACAGTACATTTCTGCAATTGAGAAACAGGCACACAAGTGTGAGGAGTTGCTAAATGCTCAGGTAATAAAAGTGCACATCCATTATATATTTATACTTTTCCCCTGACTCTCTCCCCTGAGAGCTCTATAACTGTTTATTCAGTTCTGTTCCATTTACTTGGTGTATTTTGGAGAAAAAATGTGCTTATGTAAACTCAAAGATTGAGAATTTTATGACAGACTCAAAATAGAACGTAAGACCTGAAATATGTGGGTCTCCCCCACATTAATGATTATTCTTGTGTTAATTTATGGGTTATAATATATTCTCCAAATAACAGAAGCAAAGAGATATCTATGAATGCATTATGGCGAGTAAATGATTTTTAGTGAGATAAGATTTATAAATAACATTTGAATTTTTAAAGCACCTATGTATGTTTATGTTACCTTTCATTCTGTACAGGCATTGGCTTCTATTTGAGTTTTTCTATTCAAATTTTTTTCTTTTCTTGATTTAATATCTTAGCTTAAATTATTCACTGCTTTACATTAAACAAAGCAGCTGAAGATTTATAGATGTGTCATAGCATAAATAATGTATGTAAGAATTTCCTAGTAATATTTCTCAAAGATATAAAATTTGGAATGTGAAAATTAAATTGACTTCATATAGAGCATCTGTGTTATATCATTGGAAGAAAATTTACTGAGAATTAAGAAATAAAATTAGGAGTAGAATTTAAATGGAGATTATAAATATACCACCTTATTCTCAAGATTGGGGTCAGTTCTATTAAGTATTTTTCAATGTCATTTTAATAAGTGGCTTGGAAGAGGAAATACACAGAGAAATACACAAATACAATTATACTGTTTTAGGTAGTGAAATACCAGGCTGCCAGAGATATGAAATATAAAACTTTATGAATGGATAGAAACAGCATGAGGCATATATTAGCCGGAATGGACTTGGTTGTGCCCTAAACTCTCTGGCTTCAAATAGCAAAAGTTTATATTTTACTCATGCTACATACTCATTGAGGTCTGTCTTGGGGCCCTGTCTCATGTTGTCCTCACCCTGGGAACTCTACTGATATTGTAATTGCGACGTGGAACATTACCTGATACAATTTCGAAGTGAAAGAGAGCCGTGTTAGATTTGTATCTGTAATTAAATACTCTGGCCTGGAAATGACACATTCGATTTCAATTTATATCCACATGGTTCCACCCAATCACAATGGGGCCAGAGAGTGAGAGCCTACTATGAACTTAGAAGGGAGAGAACTGGAAATACTTAGTGAATAGCACAAATATACCACATTCTTTTCTTTTGTTCACCAAATAGTCAAAGTCTCTATCTCACAGGCAAATTAACCTATCTTGTCCTCCTGGGAGAAAATCTAAAAGTTCCATTCAGCCATGGCCTCAAGCTCAAAAGTCCAGGAACTCTGGGAAAATAGGAGGGGAATAGTGTGCTGTATTCTCTCCATTATCAGGTCCAGATGTGGTCCCTTTTGACCTGAAGAAGTAGAACTAAAATCTAAATTGTTTATTCCCAACATGCCTAGTATACAGTGGTGAGACAAAGGTAGGGTATTTACTGTAAACATTTTCAATAGGAAAGGTGAAAAATTAGAGACACACAGCTATCATTAGTATGTAACAACTTTAAAATCTCACTGGATAGATTAAATAAGAGCCTCTGCCCACGAGTAGGGATTGCTCTTTCATTTCCCATGATTATCTTTTCAGAGTTTTTTTTGACAGCGTTCCTAGTCTGTTGCTCTTTGGGGTCTTGTAGGTTTTTTATTTTTCAGTATCTTTGTTTACTATATTTCAAATGGATTTTGAAGATTATACCATTTCTGAACCTGCTTCCTGTCTACAAAATATTGGGAGCCCAGGGGTCGTTTTAAGTAGCAAATAGTTACAGTTAAGGGTAATGATTCCTTTGGTATCTTGTCCTTTATAGTAGTCAGCTCTGTTAAGGCCGTATCCACAGTTGTTTTAGAGAACTACTTTGTATTTTTTTTTCTTTTTGAAATTTTTTTTTTTTTTACTAGCCTGCCTTTGTAAAGTTAGAGAACCGCTTTCTAAATTTAATATGTTTATATGCTTTGAACCTCATATTTGTCTGTCTGTCTCTCCTATTTTATTGCAGAGATATGTTCATTTTATCAAACTAGGGTGGAAGAAATCTTGTCTCTTTTCCCTAAACCATATAGCCTAAAACAGCCATAGCTTTATTTTATCTGTGCTTGGAGGCACTTTATTGAGTTTTTAATAGTGAGTGTGGCTAACATACTTAGTTTACTACTTGCTGCAAGGCCAAATGTAGTTGGTATTTGTTGCTGAAAGCCTTCTCAGTTGTTTCTTAAGTGGTTGTGCATGCAAGTCTTCAGATTTCTGTACTTTTCTATTTCCTGTGATTTGATGCTTGAGAATTTTCTTTTTTCTATGAATTCGGTGTTGAGCTTGTCTTTTTCTTATAATGCCTTCTCAAAAGTGGCCTATTATGGAGTTATTAAAAGGATTCAGCCAAGTTACAGATTAAAAGATTAACACATGAAAATCAGTGTGTTTCTACACACCAGAAATGACAAATTGGAAAGGAAGTTAAGAAAGCAGTTTCATTTACAATAGTATCTACGTTTAACCAAGGTGATAAGAAACTTGTATTCTACAAGCTACAAAACATTGCTGAAAGAAATTTAAAATGACGTAACGAAATGGAAAGATATCCCCTGTTTGTTGATTGGATATACTTGGTGAAGAACACCCCAGGACGTTTATAGGATTATAAGCGGTTCAGTATGATGCTTTTTAAGTGCTACTTAAAAAGCAAAGATTAGTCGTTGCAGTGGCTCACGCCTGTAATCCCAGCACTTTGGGAGGCCACGGCGGGCCGATCACAAGGTCAGAAGATTGAGACCATCCTGGCTAACAGGGTGAAACCCCGTCTCTACTAAAAATACAAAAAATTAGCCGGGTGTGGTGGCGGGCACCTGTAGTCTCAGCTACTCCGGAGGCTAAGGCAGGAGAATGGCGTGAACCTGGGAGGTGGAGCTTGCAGTGACCCGAGATCATGCCACTGCACTCCAGCCTGGGCGACAGAGAGTCTGTCTCAAAAAAACAAACAAACAAAAAAAAAACAAAGATTAAAGGGAGATTTGATTAGTATGTATTAATAACATCATGTAACATATAGAAATGGTGACTCCACATTTGTTTTTCAAATTATATTTCTTAAGATGCCATTTGAAATGAAATTAGTACCTTCAGTTTAACAACAGCAGAAATGTCTTTGAGAAAAGCGCAAATCTAATAGCTGGATGGTTCCTTAGGAATCATTTGGTTCAACCTTTTCTGTTTCTTGCTCTCTCTCTCTCTCTCTCTCCCCCTTTTTCAGATTAAGAATTTCAGTTAATTCTAAAGCAGAATAATTAGAAGCCTGCACTCTAGAGTCAGACTATATGAATTGATCCCTGGCTTTGTCACTTAGGGCAAGTCTCTTAATCTCTCTGTGCCTCATTTTTTTCCTCTATGGATGAGATACACAAGTAATTACTACCTCATAGTACTATTATATGTATTATATGACATCAGATGTGCAATAGTGCTTAGATTAGAGCTTGACATATTCTGGGTGTTTATTGGCTGCATTATCTTTGTAATTCTTAGCTAAGACTGTTTGTATAGCTAGTATCAGAACCAGGGCTGGGATTCAGGTTTTCTAATTTCTAGTCTTTAGAAGAAAAGTTTGTTACTGGTATTTCATATGTTGTCTTGTCAAAGAACCTTTACTTTTTACAAAATTTACTTTGGTGTCACTGTTGTATATGAATACTAGACCAACCTTTTCTTCCTCTGTACTGTTTCAACTTACACTTTTGACACCAGATGTGTGGGAGTTTTCTGCATCAACAACCAGTTCTCCAACTGCCTGGACACCAAATCGGTGTTCTACAATTCAATTCCATTCTGACACTAACTCATCAAAGTTAACGTTCGACTTCACAAGTTTAACAGCTCAGTCCCAGAAGACTGACCTCACTTCAGATGCCAGTTGCAAGTATTAGGTCCCCAGGGTACCCACACTTTCCTCTGACTTGACTACAGTGTTATGAGTTTCCACAACTGGTCTCCCCTTCCAGTTTGATAATTTGCTAGAATGGCTCACAGAACTCGGGGAAACATTTTACTTACGTTTCTTGGTTTGTCATAAAGGATACAACTCAGGAATGGACAGATGGAAGAAATACATAGGACAAGTTATGGGGAAGGAAGGAGCCTGGTACAGAGATCCTAAAATCTTGGAATTTTCAGGGTGATAAGAGTATCTGTGGTAGCTTCGAGATCAGCATGGGGGCTATCATCAGAAAAACCGAGGCATGAATAAAGGGTTGAAACTTTCAGCCTCATCCCTCCAGCATCCAATGGCTTAATAAGTTACACCTATATAATGAAACTCCTAAATGAAGGAGTTCAGAAAGCTTCTGGGTTGCTGAATACATAGAAGTGCTGTGCTTTATGACACTGTACAAAGACCAGTGTATTTCTTAGTGTATCACAGTCCCTCTCTCCTCTTTATTTAATGAGGGACTTTTGTATGACATGGCACTCGGCTTGGTTATAGGAACGTAACAGTGAGAGAGGGAGTGAGACATAGTTCTTCTAGTAAGCAGTAGAACAGATGATATAATTTTAAAATCATATAAGTTAGGATGGAATAAATAGTAATACAAAACTACATTCAAGGGCATAAAGTTCCATAGTATTAGGTGAAGGAAGACTTATAGGACTAATGATGAGTTCTCTCAAAGTTAAGGCATCTAAGTGAGGTCAGAACTGAGAGATTAGCATGAAAGAGGCAGATGGAATTGCATATTAAAAATCTTTCATTTGAGAAAATATAAGTGTTAAGGGTAAGACCATATGAGGGTGCTAAATGAAAAATGACTATATTTCATAGGAAGGATCATAAAGGACCTTACCTGCCACATTGTCTGAAAGAACATTGGGTGCTATTAAAAGGGATTATCTAGAGAAGTGACATTTGTTCAGATTTGCATTTTAGAAATACTACTGTGGCTAAAGTATAAAAATTGATCGGAGGGAATATTAGTAGCATGTAAAATAGTTAAACAGCTATTTTAGCTACCCAAATGAGAATGTTGGTAGCCCAAACTAAAGTGTGTGGGTAAGAATAGAGAGATTTTGATGGTTTTGAGTGATATTAAGGGAAGAGAAACCGGAGACTTTGTGGGAATACAAGAGCAGCAGTAGATGCTCATTGATAAAGGAGATTTTGTGTGTGTGTGTGTGTGTGTGTGTGTGTGTGTGTGGGCATGTGTGTGTGTGTTTGTGACACAAACACATATATTTTATATATATAAGTATGTTTTTATGTAATAGAATATATTTTTCTGTATGGGGTCCAAATTTTTGGTTTTGGCAATTCACTGAAATAGGCAACTTAAGACACGAAGCATGGTTTGGGTTGAAAATTTTTAGTTTTGGATATGTTGAGTTTATATTGCCTGTGCAAGATGCCAGAGCTGTCAGACAGTTGAATCCAGGGTGGAGAACTTACGAGAAAGCTGGTAATAGATGAATTTGAAAGTCATGTAAGTATATAGTCCTAAGTATATAGATGGTCATTGAAAGTGTATCTATGGATGAGATCAGAGAATATATAAAATGAGAAAATAATTCAACTTTGAGAGACCTTAACATATAAGGGATAGGCTAAGACAGCTCATGAAGGAAACTCTCTGGAAAGAAAGATAGTAGGAAACCCAGAAATACAGAGCATTTTGCAAAGAGAGAGTTGCTAACATTTTCAAAGTTTGCAGAATAAACAAGATAAGGACACATAAATGACCATTTCATATGGCAACAAGAAAGTATCACTAACAAGAGTAGTTTCAACAGAGTGGTGGAAGAACAAAGTAGATTACAGGATGAGAAGTAAATGAAAGGTGAAAGTAAAGAAACAGATGACAAGTCTTTGAGGAGCTTAGATGATAAAAGTAAGAGACAACACTGTAGGTAGAGGGACCTATGAAGTGGAAACATTTTTATTTGTTGGTTTCCCTTGTATTTCGGCCTAGAAGTAGAGCTCATTTAAATGTATGGGCGAGAGCCCCAGTCTAGAAAGATTAAAAAAAAAAAATTGATGGAGTGGAGTCCTAAGAAGGAAGCAATGAGTGGAGACTAACCTGTCTTAGGTAAGCAAATATTTTGAGGGGCCTATGTGTGTATGCAGTGGGGTATACATGTGTATAGATGTAAATATAATTTTAAATACTATTTGTATCTTTGATTATAGCATTTATGAATTTTTTTTGAGTTACTTTCCATCACTACTTATAAAATCCAAATTCCTATAAAGGATAAGTACAATATGCTATTTATAATTCCTTAAGTGCTATTAATAGATATATATAAAATGCTACCAATACACATAAGATAGAGACACTATCTGTATTATTATGTTGCCCTTAATCTTTTATTAAAAAAGAAAACCAAGCCTGGCTTTTGCCCATAATGCCTTGTCAAAAATAACCGATAGCAACCCACACACATTTTAAACATATTCCTGTTTATTCCCTTAGAGTTACAAGTACTTTGTTGAATTGAGTGCTAGAATATAAATTCCATGAGAGCTAGGTTATATATTTATTCTGTATTCCCCAAATCTATCAACTTTTTGGAGTGAGCTCTACATAAAATTAAATGTACTCATTCTATAGAAATATATACACTCATATATCTATCATCAACAATCAAGATATAGAACATTTCTATCAACACAAGAAGTTCTCTTATCCTTTATAATTACCTTCCTTCTATAAACTCTGGATCCTGACAACCCACTAATCTATAGTCTGTCTATTGATTTGTTTCATTTTTTCTGTTATTTCATATAGAATGAATTATATGGTATCTATTCTTGTATGTCTAGGTGCTTCTTGTGTGTCTAGATTTTTTTGAGATTCATCCATATAGTCACATGTATTAATAATTTATACCCTTTGATTGCTAAGTAGTATTCTATTGTATGGAAACGTAGCATTTTGTTTATTCATTCACTTATTAAATATTTAGATTGCTTAAATTTGGGGCTGCTTTAAATGTTTGCATATAAACTGTGTGGGGATATATATGTTTTTATTTTTGTTTGTAAATATCTAGGTAAGGAATTGCTGTGTCATATGGTAAGTATATGTTTAACTTTAAAACCAACTGCCAAAATTTTTTCCAAAGTTTTATTATATTTGACATTCTCACTATCAATGTATGAGAATTCTCTTTGATCTGCTCTCTCAGCACTTGGTATTGTCCATCTTTTTCACTTTAGCCAGCTTTGGGGGAATGGGGTGTGGTATTTCATCTCATTGCACTTATTTGGCTGTTGAAGGTTAACATCTTTTCATGTGCTTTTTATTTGTACATTTTCTTTGTAAAGTGTATATTCAAATCTTTTTGCTTATTTTATTATGTTGTCTACTTTCGTAAATATTCATGAGTTTTTCATAAATTCCAGATACAAATCCTTTGACAGATATGTGCACTACAAATATTTTTTCATAGTTTCTGTCTTCCTTTTCACTTCTTGGATGGTATCATTAGACAAACAAAGCTTTTTAATTTTTATTTCAAATTTATCATTGTTATTAGTCAGCTCTCACACTACTATGAAGAAATACCCAAGATTGGGTAATTTATAAAGAAAAGAGATTTAACTGACAGTTCTGCATGGCTGGGGAGGTTTATTAGTCTGTTTTCACCCTGCTAATAAAGACATTCCTGAGTCTGGGTAATTTATAAATGAAAGAGGTTTAATTGACTCACATTTCAGGAAACTTACAATCATAGCAGAAGGGGAAGCAAACATGTCCTTCTTCACATGACAGCAGCAAGGAGAAATACCGAGCAAAGGGGGAAAAGCCCCTTTAAAACCATCAGATCTTGTGAGAACTCAACTATCATGAGAACAGCATGAGGGTAACTGCCACCATGATTTCCTCCCACTGGGTTTCTCCTGCAACACTTGGGGATTATGGGAACCAAAATTCAAGATGAGATTTGGGTAGAGACACAGCCAAACCATATCATTTCACCCTGACCACTCCCAAATCTCTTGACTTCACATTTCAAAACCCAATCATGCCCTTCTAACAGTCCTGCAAAGTCATAACTCATTCCAGCATTAACTCAAGAGTCCAAGTCCAAAGCCTCATTTGAGACAAGGCAGATCCCTTCTGCCTATGAGCCTGTAGAATCAAAAGCAAGTTAGTTACTTCCTAGATACAATGGAGATACAGACATTGGATAGATGCACTTATTCCAAATGGGAGAAATTGGCAAAAATAAAGGGGCTACAGGCCCCATGCAAGCCAGAAATCCAATAGGGCAGTCATTAAACCTTAAAATTCCATAATGATCTTTGACTCCATGTCTCACATCCAGCTCACACTGATGCAAAAGGTGGGCTCCAAAGGCCTTGGGAAGCTCTACTCCTATGGCTTTGCAGGGTACAGGCCTCCTCCTGGCTGCTTTCATGGGCAGGCATTGAGTGTGGCTTTTCCAGGCGCACAGTGTAAGCTGTTGGTGGAACTACTATTTTGGGGCCTGGAGGATGGTAGCCCTCTTCTCACAGTTCTACTAGGCAGTACCTCAGAGGGGACTGTGTGTGGGGGCTCTGACCCCACAGTTTCCTTCCTCACTGCCCTAGCAGAGGTTCTCCATCATGGGTCCACCCCTGCAGCAAACTTCTCTGCCTGGACATCCAGGCATTTCCATACATCCTCTGAAATCTAGGTGGAAGTTCCCAAACCTCGATTCTTGATTTCTGTGCACCTGCATGCTCAATACCACATGCCAAGGCTTGGGGCTTGCACCTTCTGAAGCAATAGCATGAGCTGTACGTTGGCCCCTTTTAGTCATGGCTGGAGCTGAAGCAGCTGGGATGCAGGGCACCATGTCCTGAGGTCTCTCCACACCCCCACCCCCACCCCCACCCTAGGACTGGCCCAGGAAACTATTTTTCCCCCCTAGGCCTCCAGGTCTGTGATGAGAGGGACTGCTGTGAAGACCTCTGACATGCCCTGGAGATATTTTCCCCATTGTCTTGGCAAGTAACATTTGGCTCCTTGTTACTTATGCAAATTTCTGCTGCAGGCTTGAATTTCTCCTTAGAAAATGGGTTTTTCTTTTCTGTCACATTGTCAGACTGCAAATTTTCCCAACTTTTATGCTCTACTTCCCTTTTAAACATAAGTTTCAATTCCAAACCATATCTTTGTGAATATATAAAACTGAATGCTTTTAACAGCACCCAAGTCACCACTTGAATGCTTTGCTGCTTAGAAATTTCTTCCACTAGATATGCTAAATCATCTCTCTCAAATTCAAAGTTCCACAAATCTCTAGGGCAGGGACAAAATGCCGCCAGTCTCTTTGCATAGCAAGAGTGACCTTTGCCCCAGTTCCCAACAAGTTCATCATCTCCATCTGAGACCACCTTAGCCTGGACTTATTGTCCATATCACTATCAGCATTTTGGTCAAAGCCATTAAGTAAGTCTCTCAGAAGTTCCAAACTTTCCCACATCTTCCTGGCTCCTGAGTCCTCTAAGCCTTTAGGAAGTTCCAAACTTTCCCACATTTTCCTATCTTCCTCTGAGCTCTCCAAATGGTTCCAATCTCTGCCTGTTACTCAGTTCCAAAGTCACTTCCACATTTTCGGGTATCTTTACAGCAGTACCCACTCTCTGTGGTACCAATTTACAGTATTAGTTCGTTTCATGCTGCTAATACAGACATACCCAAGACTGGGTAATTTATAAAGGAAAGAGGTTTAATTGACTCACAGTTCAGCACGATTGCGGAGGCCTCAGGAAACTAACAATCATGGTGGAAGGGGAAACAAACATGTCCTTCCTCACATGACAGCAACAAGGAGAAGTGCCAAGAAAAAGTGGGAAAAGCCCCTTATAAAACCATCAGTTCTAATGAGAACTCCCTATCACAAGAACAGTATAAGGATAACTGCCCCCATGATTAAATTACCTCCCATAAGGTACCTCCCACGACATGTGGGGATTATGGGAACTACAATTCAAGATAAGATTTGGGTGGGGACACCATATCAGGAGGCCTCAGGAAACTTAAAATCATGGCAGAGGAGCTGCTTCACAGGGCAACAGGAAAGAGAATAAGTGCTGAGGGAAGAGGGAAGCCTCTTATAAAACCATCAGATCTGGTGAGAACTCACTATCAGGAGAACAGCATGGGGGAAATTGCCCCCATGATTCAGTTATCTCCACCTGGTCCTGCCTTTGACACACAGGGCTTATTACAATTCAAGATGAGATTTGGTGAGGACACAGAGCCAAACTATATCAATCATGTTTTCTATTATAGATTGTGTTTTTAATGTTGTATGTAAGAAATCTTTGCCTAACCATATGTCACAAAGATTTTTTCTTGTATCAAAAGAAGTTTTGTATGTTTTCCTAGGTTAAGTTTGTGATTCTTAATTATGATTAATTTTTGAGGTAATTTGGAGATACAGTGTGATGAGACAGTCAACGTTCTTCTCTCTGCCAGTCTATTCCAATACCATTTATAGAAAAGACTATCGATTACCCCCATACCTTTGGAGAAAGTCTTACAACTATATGAAATGCAGATTTCTGGACTCTGAATTTTGTTCCATTGATCTAGTATTTCTCAGCATTGGCATTATTGACATTAGGGGTTGAATTTTTTTGTGTTGTGGGGGATTCCCCTGTGCGTTACATGATACTTAACAGCATCCGTCACGTCTACCCCTAGATGCCATGGCACACGCTCAGTTGTGATAACCAGAAATATCGCTAGATATTGCTGACACTTTGACAATATTGAGTTTTCTTATCTATGAACGTTGACTGTCTTTATTTTTGAATAGTTCTTTGATTTCTTTCATCAGAGTTTTGTAGTTTTCCTCTTATAGATCTTGTACATATTTTGTTAGATTTAAAGCTAAATGTTTCAATTAGAAGGATGCTAAATGTTAATGTGTTTTAAATTTCATCTTCCACTTGTTCACTGTGATATATAAGAAAGTATTTGACTTTTTTGTATATTATCCTTGTATTCTACAAGTTTGCTGAATCACTTATTAGTTCCAGGAATTTTTTTTTTTTTTTTTTTTTTTTGTCTACTCTTTGGATTTTCTACACAGACAATCATGTCATCTGCAAAAAAAAAAAAAAATTATTTCTTTCTTCTCAATCCATATACCTTTTATTTCCTTTTTTTGTATTACTGCATTAGCTAGGATTTCAGTGCAATGTTGAAAAGCAGTTGCGAGAAAGGGAATACTTGCCTTATTCCTGATTTTATTGGAAAAGCTTCTAGTTTTTCACCATTAAATATGATCTTGGCTGTAGAATTTTTATTGTTATTCTTTATCAAGTTGAGGAAGTTCTCTTCTACTCCTAGTTTGCTGAGAGTTTTTAATCATGAACGTGTGTTGGATTTTTGTAAAGTGCTTTGACCATTTTATTGATATGATTATGCTATTTTTCTTTAGCTTGTTGATATGGTGGGTTACATTAAATGATTTTTAAAAGTTGAACCAGATTTGCATACCTTGGCATAAATGCCACATCGTTGTCATGTATGATTCTTTTGCTATGCTGCTGGATTCAATTTGTTAATATTAAGGATTTTTGGTGTCTCACAAAATGTTTATGATTATTGATCTATAGTTTTCTTTTCCTGTGATGTATTTGTCTGGTTTTGACATTAGGGTAATGCTGGCTTTATGGAATGAATCAGGAAGTATTCTCTCTGTTTCTATCTTCTGGAAGAGATTGTACAGTATTGTTATAATTATTTAATTAGATGTTTTGTTGGAATTCACCAGCAAAGTTATCTGGGCCAGGTGCTTTCTGTTTGGAAGGTTGTTGTCTTAGCCTCTTTGGGGTGCTGTAACAAAATACTATAAACTGGTGGCTTGTAAACAATAGAAATTTACTTCTTACAGTTCTAGAGACTAAGAAGTCCAAGATCAAGGTACCTGCAGATTTGGTGTCTGTTGAGGGCCTGCTTTCTAGATGGCTGTCTTTTTACTCTAATTTCATGTGGCAGAAGAGATAAGGGATGTCTCTGGGGTCTTATCCCTTCTACCATGACCCCATATCTCTGGGGTCTCTTTAATAAGGGTACTAATCACCTAACTTTCATGACTTAATACTTCCCAAATGCCCCCCCTCCTAATACCATGAACTTGGTGGCTAGGATTTCAACATATGAATTTGGAGACACAAACATTCCAACTATAGCAGTTATTAATTATTGATTTAATGTATTTAATAGATATAGGCCTACTCAGATTGTCTGTTTCTTCTTGTGTGTTTCAGCAAATAATCTTTTAAAGACTTGGTCCATTTAATGGAAGTTATCAAATTTGTAGGCATACAGTTGTCCGTAGTATTCTTTTATTTTTCTTTTAATGTTCATGGGATCTGTAGTGATATCCCTTATTTCATTTCTGACATTAGTAATTTGTGTTCATTTCTTCTTTTTTCTTGGCTAGTCTGCTAGAGCCTTATCAGTTTTTACTGATCTTTTCAAACAACCAGCTTTTGGTTTTATTGATTTTTCCATTTCTTGTTTTTAATTTCATTGATTTCTGCTTCTCTTATTTTTAGTATTTTTATGTTATTTTAGATTTAATTTACTCTTGTTTACTTATTTCCAAAGGTGGAAACTTAGATTGTTAATTTTAGATCTTTCTTCTCTTCTAATACATGAATTCAATATTTTAAATTTTCCTCTAAGCACCTCTTTCGGTGTGTCTATAAATTTTGATAAGTTGTGTTTTATTAAAAATATTTTCAATATCTTTTGAGATTTTTCTTGTTGTTTAGTAATGTGTTATTTAATCTGTAAATATTGTTGGATTTTCTAGCTATTCTCCTATTATTGATTTTCTAGTTTAATTCCACCGTGGTCTGAAAGCAGACCACATTTTGTGATTTCTACTCTTTTAAATTTCTTGAGTTTTGTTTTATGGTCCCGAATTTGGTCTATGTTAGAAAATGTTACATGTGAGTTTGAAAAGAATGCATATTCTGCTATTGCTGGTTGCAGTATATAGACTTCCTTTATATTGAGTTGATCTTGGTGTTGTTGAGTTCAGCTACATCCTTTCTGATTTTTTGCCTGCTAGATCTATTTCTGAGAAGTGGGGGCAATTGAAGTCTCCAACTTTAATAATGAATTATTTTATTTTTCCTTGCAGTTTTGTAAGTGTTTGCCTCATGCATTTTGCTGCTCTGTTATTAGGGACATACATACTAAGTATTGCCATGTTTTCTTGGAGAATCAACACTTTTATTATTATATAATGCCCTTCTTTATCCTTAATAACTTTCTTTGCTCTGAAGTCTTCTGAAATTAATATAGCTACATGTGTTTCTTTTCATCAGTGTTACCATAATACCTCTGTCTTTATCCACTTACTTTTAATATAAATGTGTCTTTATATTCAAAGTGGATTTCTCATAGACAGCATACTGGAGGGTCTTGTTTTTTGCTCTATTATATTTCTGTCTTTTAATTGGTGTTTTTAGACCATTGACATTTACAATAGACCATTGACATTTACAATGATTATTGATAGAGTTGGATTCATTTCCACCATATTTGTTATTCTTTTCTATTTGTTGCTCTTTTTTTTGGTTTCTATTTTTGTCTTTCATACTTTTTCTACCTTTTCTGGTTCAAATTGAAAATTTTATGATTTAATTTTCTCTCCTGTCTTAGCCTATTAGTTATAATTTTTTTTCTTACTTTTTAAGTGGTTGCCCTAAAGTTCACACTATACATTTACTAGTAACCCATATTCATTTTCAAATGATGTTATGCCATTTCACAGGTACTGTGAGTACCTTACAATACTAAAGTATTCCAAGTTTTTTTATCCTGGTGCTTATATCATTGATGTCATTCATTTTACTTACACAGAAGTATACATACTCATATATATTGTTGCTATTGTTATTTTAAAGAAACCATTATATGTTGCATCAGTTAAGAAAAAGAAAAAGTTTTAATTCACTTATTCCTTCTCAGATGCTTTTTCCATGTTTATGTAGTTTCAAGCGTCTGACCTATATAACTTTTCTTTTCTCTAAAGCTCTACTTTTTCTTTGGCCAGATCAAAAATGTTTCTTTTTATTCTGGTGAACACAAGATGATACATAAATTAGCCTCAGCTTAAAGGTACTCACTGAAATTTGAAAATGCTGAATAATTCTCTTCAAAGCATCCATCCCTTTCAGGGCTTCTATTTTTCAACATGTGACATCAGAATAAAGTTCTGTATTTTGGTTTTGTTGGCTGGAAAAGTGACTTCTTTGGTAGTGGTAGAAAAGCCAAGGTTTGTGACTTGAAGGCAGATTGTGATGCTATAAGCAAATTTTGGATTTTTTGAATACTTTTTGTCCTATATATTTAGATAACAGATATGAGATATGTAGATAAATAAACATATGCAAGCACATATAGTTATAATGTCTATGTAATGTCCATTCAGTAGTATGTTTTGTAAAAAAAATCTGCAAAATAAGAGTATGTCAGCAGTAACTACCCTATGCATCCCCCTTACGAATGGTGAATCCAATCAGGTAATTAGCTCATTCCAGGTGATTCCCATCAGCCAGCTAGCTCAGCCCAGGTGACATTATTTTTTCCTCAATTTTTAAGTTCCAGGGTACATGTGCAGGATGTGCAGGTTTGTTACATAGGTAAGCGTGTGCATGGTGATGGTTTGCTGCACAGATCAACCCATCACCTAGGTATTAAGCCCAGCATCCATTAGCTATTCTTCATGGTGGAAATCTCTACTTTTAACATTTCTTGCGAGCCTGTTCTTCCAATAAAAAAAAAAAAAAAATCCCTCAATTTTTGAGAAAGTCGTTATTAGTGTACAAGTCTTTGTATGGACTCATGCTTTTATTTTTCTTGGATAAGTTATTAGCAGTAGAGACCTAGCTAGGTCGTATGATCAAATACCTAGCTAGGTTGTATGGTAAAGTATATGTAAAATGTGTTTTCACAATTTTGCTCATTTGTTGTTTTCTTATGATTGAGTTATGAGAGTTCTTGATATATTCTAGATATAAACCCTTCATCAGTATGTGATTTGCAATTGTTTTTATCACAGTCTGTGGCTTGTCTTTTTATTTTCCTGATATGTTTCTAAGAGCAGAAGTTTTAAGGTTATATGAAATCCAACTCATCAATTTTTCTTCTGTGGTTATAATTTGGGTGTCTTATCCAAGAAACCATTGCCTAACTCAATATCAAAAGAGGTTTTTCCTATGTTCTATTAAAGTTTTATAGTTTTAATTCATAGTTTATGAATCATTCATTTTGAGTTGATTTTTATATATGGTATCAGATTTTAACTATTTTTTTTTGAATATCAATACCCAACTCTTCCAGTCTTATTTGCTGAAAAGCCTATTCTTTTACCAGTGGATTTCTTTTGTACATGACATGGTTTGGATCTTTGTGCCCACACAAATCTCATGTTGAATTTAAATTCCCAGTGTTGGAGTTGGGGCCTGGTGGGAAGTCATTGAATCATGGAGGCAGTTTTCTCATGAATGATTTAGTACCATCCCCTTGGTTCTATCCTCATGACAGTAAGTTCTCCCAAGAAGTGATTGTTTAAACGTGTGCCACCTCCCACCCCGTGTCTTGCTCCTGCTTTTACGATGTGATGTGCTTGCTCCCCCTTTGCTTTTCAACATGATTGGAAGCTTCCTGAGGCCTACTCCCCAAAAGGAGATGCTTCTGTGTTTTCTGTACAGCCTGAAGAACAGCGAGCCCATTAAACCACTTTTCTTATACATTATCTAGTCTCGGGTATTTCTTTATAGCAATGCAAGAATGGAATAATACAGTACGTTTGTCAAAAATCAATCGACCATATATATGTGGATCTATCACTTGATTCTCTATTCTCTTTCATGTATCTATTTGTCAAACTTTACTCCATTATGATACTGCTTTATTTAGCATGGATATTTAGTCAGTTTTGAAATCAAGTACTGTAAGCCCTCCATTATTTTTATTTTGCAAAGTTGTTTTGGATATTTTAGGTTCTTTGCATTTCCACATAACTTTTATAATCCAGTATTGTTTTTATTTTACAAAGTTGTTTTGGATATTTTAGGTTCTTTCCATTTCCATGTAACTTTTATAATCCACCAAGCAATTTCTACAACAAGGCCTGTTGGTATGTTGATTTTGGTTGAGTTGAATAAATTTAGGGAGAACTGACATTTTCACAATATTGAGTCTTTGTACCTATGAACCAGGTACATTGCTCCATTTATTTAGGTCTTCCTTAATTTCCCTCAGCAGTGTTCTAAGTTTTCAATATTCAGGTTTACTACATCTTTTGCTAGATTTATCTCTGACTAGTTCATATTTTTCAATGTTAGTTTAACTTTTATAGTTTTTAGTTTTCAATTTCAATTATCTCATGCTTGCTGCTAGGACATAAGGACACAATTGGTCTTAACCATATACATAGATATATACATATATATATATATTTTTTTTATTTTTTATTTTACTTTAAGTTCTGGGATACATGTGCAGAACGTGCAGGTTTGTTGCATAGGTATACATGTGCCATGGTGGTTTGCTGTACCTATCAACCCGTCATCTAAGTTTTAAGCCTCACATGCATTAGGTATTTGTCCTAATGCTCTCCTTCCCCTTGTCCCCCAACCCCCAGTAGGCCCTGGTGTGTGACGTTTCCCTCCCAGTGTCCATGTGTTCTCATTGTTCAACTCCCATTTATGGGTGAGAACATGTGGTGTTTGGTTTTCTGTTCCTGTGTTAGTTTGCTGAGAATGATGGCTTCCAGCTTCATCCATGTCCCTGCAAAGGACATGAACTCATTTGTTTTTACGGCTGCATAGTATTCCATAGTATATATGTGTCACATTTTCTTTATCCAGTCTATCAATGATGGACATTTGGGTTTGTTCCAAGTCTTTGCTATTGTAAATAGTGCTGCAATAAACATACTTGTGCATGCGTCTGACTTTTTAATAATAGCCATTCTGACTGGCGTTGAGATGGTATCTCATTGTGGTTTTG
The DNA here is from genome assembly GCF_000001405.40 of Homo sapiens. Lineage (NCBI taxonomy): Eukaryota > Metazoa > Chordata > Mammalia > Primates > Hominidae > Homo > Homo sapiens. The sequence goes on from NC_000012.12 coordinate 28,408,519, forward strand.
ATTTGCATTTCTCTAATGACCAGGGATGATGAGCTTTGTTTCATATATTTGTTGCCCACATAAATGTCTTCTTTTGAGAAGTGTCTGTCCATATACTTTGCTCACTTTTTGATGGTTTATTTTTTTATTTTTTTATTTTTTTGAGGCAGAGTCTTGCTCTGTATCCCAGGCTGGAGTGCAGTGGCATGATCTTGGCTCACTGCAACCTCTGCCTCCTGGGTTCATGCAATTCTCTTGCCTCAGCTTCCCAAGTATCTGGGATTACAGGTGTGCACCACAATGCCTGGCTAATTTTTGTGTTTTTATCAGAGACAGGGTTTCACCATGTTGGCCAGGCTGCTCTCGAACTCCTGACCTCAAGTGATCCACCCACCTCTGCCTCCCAAAGTGCTGGGATTACAGGGGTGAGTCACCATGCCTGACTTTAATCTTATATTCTGTAATTATCTAAAATTGTTAGTTTTAGCAGCATTTTTTGTAGGGTTTATAGAATTTTCTACATAGATATGTTTTCTAAGTATAAAAGGATGTTGTTGCATCTTCCTTTTTAATCTTGATACCTTTTATTTCTTTTTCTTATTGCACTTGCCAAACTTCTAATACAATGTTTAAATAGAAAGATGAGAAGCAAATATTTTTGCCTTTTGCTTGATCATAAGAAGAAAGCATTAATTTTTCCATTATTTTAGCTGTACCTGTTTTTGTCAAAGCCCCTTTATTAAGCTGAGTATTTTTCTTTCTATTCCTAGTTTTTATTCCAGGAAAAAATGTTGCATTTTGTTGAACAAATGTATATACCTGTTTATCTTTGTGTTAAGTATAAGTGTGTGCATGTTTTTCATATATTCCCTTATCCTTTTAAAATATCTATAAACTTTGGTGATTATCTCTTGTCTTAGTCTAGATAATTGTAATCTATGTTTTCTTTCTTTTTGCTGATTAGTTTATTAGAGATTTATCAATTCTTTTTTCTTAACCTTCTCAAATACCAGCGTTTGGTTTCATTGATTTTTAAGTTTCTATGTCACTGATTTCTTCTGAAACCTTTATTATTTAATTTACGTAACTTAATTGGCTTTCAATTTGCATTTATTCTAGTGTTTTAAAATAGGGGCTTAGGTCTTGCATTGAGGCTTTTCTTCTAAAATGTAGATATTTAATGATATATATGTCCTTCTAAGTACTACTTTAGGTGCATTTTTCACATTTTCAAAGGTCATGTTTTCATTTTCAATTCAAAATACTTTTAAATTTATCTTTTGATTTTTTTTAACCACTAGGTTATTTAGAAGAGTTTTTATTTAGTTTCTAAATATGTCGGTGTTTTTCAGATGTATTTCTTTTTTTTATATTTCTAATCTCATTCTGGTTTTGATAGATAACATACTTATGTGGTTTGAATACATTTTGAGGTTTCTTTTATGGCCTAGACTATAGTCTGTCTTTGTAAGCATCCCTTGTCTACTTGAAAAGGTTGTACATTCTGGTGTTGGTGGAATTTTGTATAAATATCATTTAGGTCAAATTTTTTGGTGTCTTGTCAAGTCTTGTGTATTGTTACTAATTTCCTGTGTACTTGTTCTGCTAGTCATTGAGAGGCAAGTGTTGAAATCTCTGACCGTACTTTTGGATATGACTAGTTCTCCTTGCTGCTCTGATTATTTTTTGAGTAGTTTTGACACACTTATATTTAGTGTATTCACATTTAGGATTATGATGTCTTCTTTATATATTTGTCCCTTTATTACTATGAAATGCTCATCTCTTTCTCTAGTAATATTATTTCCTATGAAATCTACTCTGTATGATATTAATATAAGTTCTCCACATTTATTTTGATTATTGTTAGTATGATGTATTATCCCCTATTCTTGTACTTTTAATATATTGGTTTATGTTTCAAATGGGTTTTCTTGTAGGAAGCATATTATTGCATCTTGTTTTTTATCCAGTCCAACAATCAGTAGCTTTTAATTGTGTGTATGTGTTTTTTGTTTGTTTGTTTGTTTGTTTGTTTTTTTGAGACAGAGTCTGGCTCTGTCAGCCAGGCTGGAGTGCAGTGGCATGATCTCGGCTCACTGCAACGTCTGTCTCTTGGGCTCAAGCAGTTCTCCTGCCTCAGCCTCCTGAGTAGCTGGGACTATAGGTGTGTGCCCCCATGCCTGGCTAATTTTTGTATTTTTAGTAGAGACAGGGTTTCACTATGTTGGCCGGGCTGGTCTCAAACTCCTGACCTCAGGTAATCCGCCCGCCTCAGCCTCCCAAAGTGCTGGGATTACAGGCATGAGCCACCACACCCAGCCTTAATTGTGTTTTTAAAACCCTTTAAATTTAATGTGATTATTGACGTTTTTTCATTTTAAATGTATCTCCTCATTCTTTGTTTTCTGTCTGTTCCTTGTGTTCATTATTCCCTCATGTTTTTTTGCTTCCTTTTAAATTGGATATTTTAATGGTATCATTTTAGGTCTCCTTTGTTGGCTTATCATCTATATGTCTTTGTTATTTTTGTGGTTGCTTTAGAGGGAGGTTAAATAATTAAATGAAGGACAGTTCCTACTGTGTGGTAATGCATAACAACTAAAAGCTATAGTTATGATGGTAAATTTCTTAATTAGTTCCACTGTGGTTACTTTTACACTGAGGATGTCCATTCTTCTGAAATACAAGAAATAGTTCACTCAGACATTGTTACAGATTTTTTAAGGTTTTCTTTTTGAAAAAAAAAAGTATGTTTTAAAATTTTACTGCTCTTACCATTAGCATTTAGCAGTTTTGTGTTTTTAAAACATATGATTTCCTTTGAAATATGGAAAATTTCTTCCCCATTTGATTTTGGAAGTTTCTATATCACATATTTTAATTAGAATATTTGTAATTAAATTGAACAAACACAAAAATGATCTTATAGACGGTGTCAAGATTTAACAGATGATTTTATTGTGAGATATATGCTCCAGATCTATTATGTTTAGAGGAAAAAGTTACAAATAGAGCTAACTCTTGACTTCTTTGTCATATTTCACTTTCTCTTCCTTCCCTAAAGCACCAGCTTTATACAGAATTTACTATGTTTTTACTCTTTCCTTCCTGTACCCATAATTGTTTAGTATAGTCATCCACTGAATAATGATGTTTTGGTGAACGATGGACTGTATATAAGATGGTGGTCTTATAAGATTATAATAGAAAAGAAATTTTCCTATCACCTAGTGACATTGTATAAATGTCATAAATGTCACAGTGCAGTACATTACTCATGAAAATCTAAAATGAAAAAAGAAACCAAGCAAACCACCATGGAATATTTCTGAAAAGAGTGACACCTCAAGAAAAAGCCTCAGGCAGGTCCTTCAGGAGGTATTTCAGAAGAAGGCATCACACCATTCATGAGGGATCCACTCCGATAACCCAGACACCTCTCACTAGGCCCTACCCCCCAACACCACCACATTGGAGATCACATTTCAACATGAGTTTTGGTAGGGACAAACAAACATGGCAAATATGTTTAGATGCACAAATAGTTACTATTGTATTACAGTTGCCCAGTGTATTTAGTATGGTAACATGCTGTACATGTTTGTAGCCTAGGAGCAATAGATTACACCATACATTCTAGGTGTATAGTAGGCTATATCATCTAGGTTTGTGTAAGTACACTCTATGATGTTCACACAATGATGAAATTGCCTAATATCACATTTCTCTGAATGTGTTCCTGTCATTAAGTGATGCATGAATGTATTGAGTTCTTTGTTATTCTTAAATTCTTCCAAATATTATTATTGTTACTTATATTTAATCATGTGGGAGACCAGATCATGCTACCCCAAAATATGAAGAATTGTTGAGTTGAAGGCAGTTAAGAAGAAGCAGATACAGGAAAGCTCTCTGCCTAAAAGTAGGACATAGATTTAGAAAGGCAAGGTATCCTGCCATCATCTCTTCCCCATCTTTCACTCACCATTCTGTGTCTGGAGTTGGTTCCTGCTGGTGGGATCGTGGTCTTGCTGACTTCAAGAATGGAGCTGCGGACCTTCACGGTGAGTGTTACAGCTCTTGAAGATGGCACGGACCCAAAGAGTGAGAGGTAGCAGGGCTTATTTTGAAGAATGAAAGGACAAAGCTTCCAGAGCATGGAAGGGGACCTGAGCAGGTTGCTGCTGCTGGCTGGGGTGGTCAGCTTTTATCCCCTTATTGTCCCCTCCCATGTTCCATTTCTGTCCTTTCAGAGTGCCCTTTTTTCAATCCTTCCTGCGATTGGCTGCTTTTAGAATCCTGCTGATTGGTGCGTTTTACAGAGTGCTGATTGGTGTATTTTACAATCCTCTTGTAAGACAGGAAAGTTCCCCAACTCCCTACTCGACCCAGGAAGTCCAGCTGGCCTCACCTCTCAATTCCACCAGGAAGAATAAAGGTTAGTCACTGAAGATAACTTTAAATCCTTTTTGGCCTGGAGATGGTACCAGTGGAATCTATATTAATAGGCTTTACTAACTGGCTTTTATCTGCCATTTATTTGTCTCACAAATTGCTGCCTCTAGAGACTCAAAAAAGTCCTTTTCCATTGTTTTCTCATTTCTCCAAAAATCGACTGTTCTTTGTTAAAGATACTATATAAGCTAGAACTCAGAACCACCTCTTGAGAACTACTCATTCCCTGGGCATCTCCCATATATATATGAAATATACATGTTAATAAACTTACATTTTTCTCCTATTAAACATTTTTTTGGTATAGGGGTCCTTTCCAACTAAGAGCCTGTTGAAGCAGAAGAAAATATTCTTTCCCCACAGTTCTTAATGGATTTTTACCCCCATATTTTAAATGTTCCTAGCTGCTTCTTGCCTCTTCTCCCTCCTCATGTGTTTAATTTCTTTCCTAAATTATAGTCTTTATTAATTGTAAAGTGTAAACTTAACTAATATTTGTTTTTGTCTGAACATTTTTGATGTTTTTTAGGTAATTTATCTTTTCTCTTTGGTTGTTTTTAATAGTTTTACTTATTCTTGATGTGCTGTAATTTTACTCAGATGATCTTATCATTTATTTTTGAATTTATTTTGTATACATCCTGCTGAGGCGTGACAGTGATAACAAACTGCGCACCTAAATTTGTTCTTCCTCTTTCTTAGTATAGCGTTGTCACTGGCAAGTTGCTCCTCCCACAGGGAACCTTTTCCATTGCTTCTGTTGGGTGATTGCAGTTCATAAAAGCATGCTTTTACCTTTATGCTCCCATGAAATAATCTTTCAAATAAAACAATTGACATGAAATAATACTTTTCAAATTCAATAGTTTAACTTTTAATTTTCCTGGACAGTAAACAAGGTTCAGGTTGCTTAGTGTTTACCAATGATTTGTGAGTGCAAGAAATATGTTTCACTTTCTGATGAATACGGTACATGTCCTTTCTCTACGATCTCTTTCCCTTTTTGCCTGTTAGATAACACATTAAGATGTTTGTCAATGGCAGAACCACGAGTGAAAGGAAATTGGGTCTGTGATTTACCACTTGGAGGGAATCTCCTCATTCAGGAACATTTCCAAGAAAGAAACTTATGTGTGTTAATTTACTAAAATTTTGGGGTTTATTTGTTGATGGTAGCTACCTTTAATACATCAAAACTCGTTTGTCTTTGTCTTTCTAAAATTTTTATACTGTTAGATATATATTTTTTACAGCCCAAAATTTATGACAGAAATATATACCTCTAGAAATGTGTAACAACATTTAAAAAGTTGAGAAATATTGTAATAATAAATGATTATAGACAACAAGTCAGATAGTTTGGATGCCAAGCAAGTAAAAAAAATTCTTATTTTGTCTGTGTGTAGGGGAAGGAAGAAGGTGAAAGTTGCTTTTAGCTTGAAAGTAGATATAGATTACTATTTAAATATTAATATATGAGAATATTCAAAAATATAATTGAAATGTTCAAAAAGTACCCCAACATTTAAGGAATTATTATAATTTAAACATTTTATTTTTGAATCTGCATACTTTATGTCTAGGTTTAATTAAGATTAAGGAATGGGTGCTTTATGCCTGGTCTCCTGTGTGTCACATGATTCTTTTCTGTATGGCACAGGCATTTGATCACACTTGGCTATTCATTTGAGTATCAGTCATTACATTTCCAGATCATGGTAATGTTTTAAAATATTCCTTGTATTCATTTAGAGGAAAATTGGTAATGATATATTGTTACAAGACACCCACTCATTCTGCTTGGGAAGAACAGAAAAATATTGTGGTCTTGGCACCTTAAACAGAGAAAAGAAACATAGAGCAATGAACTTGGGGCAATAAAGTAGAAGTAAAACAAATGACATATTAAGTCATACACAAATGAGATACTCCATAGGTGAATGCCTTAGAAACAATGAAAAAACCCGTTCCTCTTGTTTAATGCATTAACACTTTCATCATATTGAAAATTAAACTCTTTCTTTCTTTGGGAAGGCACTTTTTCTTACTGGTCAAATAATATAGAAAACACTTATGCGGAGATACCTCTAGGGTTTTAAATATAATTAGCTAACATTTTGGTAATATTATGGGCTAAGGTATTCAAGTTATTTTGTTTTCTAGAGTGCTTTAAGGTTTATCTATTTTTAATTTTTTTCTACTTTCCTTTAAGGCTCTTCTCTTTAGGTAAATTTTAGAAACCATGTGAAATGTTATTTGTTTGTAAAGCGGATTTTTTTTTTTTTGAGATGGAGTTTTGCTGTTGTTGCCCAGGCTGGAGTGCAATAGCACGATCTCGGCTCACTGCAACCTCCACCTCCCAGGTTCAAGCAATTCTCCTGCCTCAGCCTCCCGAGTAGCTGGGATTATAGGCATGCACCACCGTGCCCGGCTAATTTTTTATTTTTAGTAGAGACGGGGTTTCTCCATGTTGAGACTGGTCTCGAACTCCTGACCTCAGGTGATCCGCCTGCCTCAGCCTCCCAAAGTGCTGGGATTACAGGCGTGAGCCACTGTGCCCGGCTGTAAAGCGGATTTTAAAATGAGTAGTTAAAAGCAAGTCTTGTTACTGAGGATATATCCATGAAAAAAATAATTATAAAAACATGGAAATTTTTTTGTAATATTGATTTGCATATAGCCTTTATTTAACTAATAAAGATATATATTTGTGTGTGTGTGTGTGTGTGTGTGTACATTTACTTTTCACTACAGAAAAAAATATTTTGAGTCAAAATTTGCCTCCCTACCTGAAAATATTCTTGTGAACTTATATAGTGGTTACAGTCAATATAGGAGACATGATTTTAAAAACTAAGAATAAAGTGGAAAAAAGGCAATGTTGACATTATTTTCTGGAGTTTCAGCATATTTTGCAAATTAAGTCTGGTTTTGTTCTTGATATCATTCAGTACCAAAGCTATTCAAATGTAATTGTCAGGCTGTGTCCTGAATATTCAGCACTGAGGAATGTGTTTTTTTTTTTCTTTTTTCTTGGAAATCCAGTCATGAGGTAATTTATCATGAAGGAGGAATGGCTCTTAGCGTTTTTTGTTATATTTAGATGAGGAGTCAGCACCTAGACAGCACTCCTCACCCAGCTGCTTCTTGGAGTTTCCAAAAATCTAACACAGGAAAAAGGGTACTAATGTCTTTATATCTAATAAGCTTCTTATTAACTTTTATGTTTTTATAGCATTATTTTTGTCAGTAAGTGTTATATCCCCACAACTATTATCATTGTTGTTGCTGCACTAGCTTAGCATTTATATTAAATAGGTAGAGACTATTTCTGGAATTGTACTTTTCTTAAACCAATTCTGTCTTACCCAAAAGCTTCTGGTGTGTATCAAAGGGTATAGATATTGTATGGTGTGTACTGTTAGAGAAAAAAAAACTATTCTGACACTTTTTTAAATGATAAGGAAGACTTTATTCAAGACTACTGCAATAGAAGAAAGAAATTAGGCTCAACCCTGAATACAGTAAGAACAAGAGGGGATGTATCGGCAAGGACAGGTGGGAGTGGGTGGGTGGATGGAAAATTACTGAAAGGATACATCAAGGATAGGGGGAATTGTTGCTAAACTGACCTAACAGGAGGGCAGGCTAGGATGATCAGATGGTGAAGATCGGGAGAAGAATTTGATGAGATATCAAGAAAGGGGGATTTTGTCCAAACCTACTACTAAGTTAGATTCTTGCTGAAGGTGGGTTAAGCATTTCTGGCAAGATCAGGAGCCAGGGTCAAGGCCTAGTCAAAAACAGAGCTTAGAAGAGTCTGACTGAAGATTTTGGTCAAGCAGAGTATCTTGTCAGTACTCAGACACAGACAACTATAGCAATGGTTATACACACACACTTATCATATGTAGTATTATGTATATGAATATATATATATGATTATGGACATAAATATATGAATTGACCACTTCCTATTGGCCTTGACCTTTCAATTTAGTTATGTTGCTTTGATGGTCTCTGGTTTCATCTTTTTCTGTGTATGTATATGGATCTCTTGAGCCTCTCTACCACTCCTCCTCTTTCTAGCATTTGCTGTGTCTGTGATGTTCAGTCCATTGAATAATGGCAGTAGGAACCTGTATGAACTTCTAGATTTTGGGCCTGAAATTTAGGATATTTGCTTTTACACAGTTCTTTACATTCAAAATGTGTGGTTATTGGGTTTCCTTTTTTATTAATTTTTAATTTTTTTGCTTATCTTATTTGTGATGTTGGCTTTCATTTATTTTTTCATTTAAAAAGCTATACTTTGCATGCAGTAACATTTGTCATTTTGAAAGTACAGTCCTGTAAATTTTGACAAACACAATCATGCAGCTACTACCATAATCAGAATATAAAACAATTCTGTTACCCCAAAAGATTTCCTCGTGCTCTTTGTAACCAGTCTTATTCCCCATCCCTGATACTTGGCAGTGATCTGTTTTAGGTCTCAATAGTTTTTATTTTTCAATAGTGTTATATGCTTGGAATCAAATAGTATGTTACCTTTTTTGTTTTAGTATTTTTCTTTTGTCTTTTTATTTTTCCCCAGCTTTATTGAGGCATAAATGTATATATTAAAATTGTGTGTATTTAAGCTGTACAACGTGAACCTTTGAGATATATATATATATATATATACACACACACACACATTGTTAAATGATTACCACAGTCAAACTAATTATTAATAACGTATCCATCACATCACAATGTTATTTTTTTATGTGTGTGGTGAAAACATTTAAGATCTACCCTTTTAGCAAGTTTCAACCATGCAATACTGGATTAACTATGGTCCCAATGCCGTACATTAAGTATGTTGCCTTTTGAGTCTGGTTTCTGTTATTTAGTATAATACATTTCCAGTGCACCTATGTTGTATATTTATTCATAGTTTTTCCTTCCATTACTGAGTGGTCCTACATTGAGTGGTAAATGTGTTATATTTTATCCATTTAGCAATTGAAGGAAATTCAGGTTGTTTTCAGTTCTTGGCAATTATGAATAAATCTGCAATAAAACATACATGTGCAGCTTTTGGAATACATATGTTTTCCTTTTCTGGGTTAAATACTTAGGAGTAGCACTGGTGGATCATTTGGTTAGTGCATGTTTAATTTGATAAAGTGTCAGACTATTTTCCAATGTGGCTGTACCATTTTGCATTCTCACAAGCAATGTATGTGTGTTCAGGTTCCTTTGGATTCTCAGCAGCTCTTGGCATTGTCTGTTTTAAGCCATTCTAATAGCTTACCAAAATTTATGAAAAATTTACCAAAAACGTAATTTGTAGTAGAAACTGACAACAATTGCTAAAGCTAGATAAAAATTTAAAAATGAAATAAAACATTCATCAATAAACTGAGACAAAAAACTGTTTTAATTATTCTAAGATGGAAGGTAGTATTATATAGTTGTCTGAAGCACAGTAAGGTAAAATTCAAACTGTACAACTTTTAGCTATTGACTTTGCCTGAATTTCCTTATCTCTTCAAAGACCATCTACTCAAAATTATTTTCCTTTAATGAGATATAATGTGCCTTAATTGGGATATAATCTCAAAGCATAGTGCTGTCCTTTAGAAAAAGCTGAATAGTAGCTATTGAAATTATTATTATGTTAATGGCAGATTAATACTGTAAAATAGATTTCAAAGTTTTTAAGATGTGATATTTCAAAATTAGATTAAACTACTGGATTCTTAGAATGAAAGAAAGGATCGGGCCAAAAAGGTCTTATTTTCTTCTTCCTTAAATTAAATAAAAAGTTTTGGTTGTTATTATATGCAGCCACATTTAGATAAGCGTGACATTCAAAATGTTTGTTGAGAGCTTTATTCTGGCCATTATGAAATTTAAAGTTGAATATCTACCATCAAAATAATTACACAAGATAAAGGCAAGTCAAACAAACTCCAACAGTTAAAAGTAAAAATAAGGCCATTAATTATAATGTTTAATGAGGACTAATCATGTTCTAGGTATTTGTCAAAATGCTTATGTACATTATTTTATACATCCATCCATTCATTCACTCTTTTTTTGTCAGATATTCTACGGGAAAAACAAGCATTTTTTTACATATGTTTTATACCAAACCCTGGAGGGGTCCTAGGGATATAACAGTGAAAAAGTCTGTGCCAGTAAAAGCCTGCAACCCAGTGTGGAAAGCCAAACTCTAGTACTAGGCCATTACAATAAAATAAGAGTAATTAGTAAGAAAAGGATAAGCCCAGAATGCTGTAGAAATCTTCACAAGACCATTTAATCTCACTTTATTCTACCACATCTGTGTAGAAACAACACTGGAGTCAGGCCAACTAGTAAAACTATCATAACTATCATGACGGTAAATATAAGTGGTCTTATTTTCTTTTGCAGTACAAAAATTTTATATCAGATTGGATTTAAAAGCAAAATTCAATCATTACTTATAAGAGTCATAAAAAATGACACAAGAAAAATATAAACCAATAAATCTTTTTTTGTCAATCTAATTTCAATAAAAAGTAAGCAGATGTAGCAGTATTAGCAAAATGGCTACTTTTGTCTAAGTAGAATATTGGACAAAATTTATTGACAGACGTTTTGTAAGTCTACTTTTACTGATATTGGTCAATCAGTAATAGAGGATAACCACCTGGAGACATTTACTTATTAATCAAAATAATTAGTGTCATCAATGCAACATTTACTATGTGCCAAGTAATACAGTTGGTCTCTTTCATGTGCTGTTTTTTTTAAATTATCATTTTTTTTTTTTTGTTCTTTGAGATAGGATCTCACTCCATCGCCCATGCTGGAGTACATTTGTGTGATCATGGCTCACCATAGCCTTAACCTGCTTGGCTCAAGCTATCCTAACACCTAAGCCTTTTGAGTAGCTGGGACTACAGGCACATGGCACCACACCTGGCTAATTTTTGTGTTTTTTGTAGCTATGGGTTCCTACTGTGTCTCCCAGGCTGATCTCGAACTCCTAGGCTCAAGTAATACTCCTGCCTTGGCCTTCCAAAGTGCTGGGATTAAAGGTGTGAGTCACCATGTCTGGCCTAAAAATTTCTTTGGAAAACCACTGTAAGATAGATAGTAGAGGTGATAATCAGTTATTCAGTAAAATTTAGGAAGCTGACCCATATCACATAACCAGTAACTAATAGGTAACAAAATTTGGATTTGATTCCAGATCTAACTTCAAAACTTAAAGCAAAAAAATCACAAATCATAACAATGCATTCTGTTATGTAGAAAATTTGATACATTCAAAGCTCTAGATGAAATTTTTCTATGGCTTGAAACTCTTCTAGACAGGTTTAGATTAAATGGATATGTTTGAGCACTGTTATTAGCTGGACTTTGATGTTCACATAGCTCTAAATGAAATAGAAATGTGAATAATTCTTTTATTTAAAATATTTTTGTGTTATTTTTCCTACTTTAAAAGTCTGATAATCATTAGAGGAATTGTTATATGCCATCTGTATGTATCAGACACTACTGAGTGCTAGCTGATTGACAGCACATAAGACACAGTCCTTACCCTCAAGGTTTGTTTGTTTACCTCAGTGTTTACATGACCCATGGAAAATGAAAGGTAAAGGAAGAAGAAGAAGAAAAGCAAACCCAGAGTCTCACCACTTAAGCGTTGTTATTGTATTTCCCACCTATTTGTTCCTTTTCCCATACTTGCAATTATAGATTATATGACATCTTCCTGTTTTCACTTAACAGTGTTGCAGGTGTGCATTTTATGGTTTTTTTTTTTTCAGTAGCTTGAAAACTCACTGAGGGCAGTGATATTTCATTAAATATTTCTTTATTTTCAATATCTGACATTTAGAATCCGCAAAATTTTTGAATTCACAAATGTTTTTTGAGTTCTTAAATAACTTTTTACTGGTGGCTTTCTATTGTCAGAACTTAGTTTATTCATGTATTTTTCCAGTATACAGAATGTTGCTATGAGTAATTATATCCATGTGTTACTTTCCTTTTTTTGCAATTTTTTCTCAGCATAGATTTCTAGCAGTGGAATTACTATATGCAAGGACCTTTTTTCTCTTCATCTTATTGTTCATGTTATTGTTAACATTTTAAGACATTTTAGCATATACTGTGAAAATTCTTTGTATACCAATTTATAAATCACAAACAATACAAGAAGATGATCATGGACTTAGCTTTTACCAACATTTAAAAAACTATGTTTTAAAACTTATTTTAGGTTCAGGGATACATGTGCAGGTTTGTTATATAGGTAAGTTGTGTGTCGTGGGGATTTGGTATATAGATTATTTTGCACCCAGGTAATAAGCCTAGTACCCAGTAGATAGTTTTTAGATCCTCTCCCTCTTCCCACCCTCCACCCTCAGGTAGGCCCTGGTGTCTATTGTTCCCTTCTTTTTGTCCATGTATTCTCAGTGTTTAGCTCCCACTTAGAAGTGAGGGCATGTAGTATTTGGTTTTCAGTCCCTAGTTAGATTGCTTAGGAAAATGACCTCCGGCTCCATCCATGCTGCAGCAAAGGATGTGATCTCTTTCTTTTTTTTTTTTTATGTCTTTCTTTTTTATGGCTGCATAGTATTCCATGGTGTATATGTCTGTCACTGATGGGCATTTAGGTTGATGAATCCAGTTTGTCATTGATGGGCATTTAGGATGATTCCAACAGTTTCCTGAAGAAGAAGAAATTCCTCCTCAACACTGTAACATAGAAATTCTGCCTGTGTTTACAGTCTGCCTGTTTCCCTTAAGGATTTTGTACTTGCTAGCCCCCACAAGCCTGTGAGCCTGTTCCATAAAATCAGCCAATCTCCCCCTTTTCCTTTATCCTTCTTCCTATTCCTTCCCTGTATCCTATCATTTCTGTTCCTCTGGGGAACCCTGGCTGATACACTTTGTAAATTTGTCTTTATTTGCTGATCCTTGAGATTGACATCACTTTGTAAGGAGTCTTGAGTACTTGTTGTGCTTTTCTAATTTGCCTATACATACTTTGTGCTACTTGTCTCCTGGAGTCTTGTTTCACTATTAATGTATAATAGTCTTTGAAACGGTGGAAACCTGTACTTGCATCAATCACTCTATCACTTTAGGATTTGCCAAATGCTTTAATGTAAATCATTGATTTATTTATACATTTAGACGGATATTGAGGAATTCTGGTTGTTGTCTTTAACATAGTATCCAAAAGTACCAAAATCAATCACATCAAAATAGAGTTTGGCTTTCTTATACAATTCAAGTGGAATTTATCCAATTATATTTAATTCAATACTTTTTTGGTAATTGCCTTTTCATACTAATATTTATATGGGTTATAGGAGGTAAAAGGGTACTTATCAAAATATAAATTTTATAGTAATTAATGGCATTTAATACTATTTTTATCTTCTTAATTTTGTATACAGTGGTTATAAAAATAATACTAATTTTATTACTTTTGGTGTTATTATTCTAATCCATTCTAAGCATACCATCAGGATCACTTGAGTCTCATTCTCATAAAATAAGCCGAAAAAGTGTGCCTTGAGACCCTTTATTTGCCAGGAAAAACACATTTTATTAACTGCTAATTATTGTCCCAAATGTATATAGTTATATGTTAGCAGATTGTGGCTAGCCATAAAATTGTTTTTCTCTTACCACATGCTTCACTTTTCTTTATTCTCCACATACAGTGAATTTAAGAGTTATTACAAAGTGACATTTTAAACTGAAATCTGTTACAAAATAAGAAGTTTGTTTTCTCTTTCTCTTTAATGTATTCTTTGAGAGAGTAGGAAAATCATCATCCTCACTTTAAAAGTATATGTTCACATTACGAAAACCAGGGAAAGAATCGTCCTACTCATTGGTTGGGAAAAATTTGTAATAGTGAGAACTAAATTAGAACTTCTTAACTCCTGTTTAATACTTTTTCTGTAATTCCAAGGTTGTTGTTGTTGGTGTTTGTTGTTGTTGGTGGTTGTTGTTGTTATTGTTTGGCTTATTAATCTCCCTCAATACAAAGATAACTTCTTTCTGACAGAGGAAATTATTAAAAGAAAACAGAAACTCTAGAGTAGTGAAAATACAACAGTTGTGCACCAAGCTGATGCCCTGTCCAGGAGAATTGTGACCAAGGGACATGCAAAATAAAAAAATGAAACATTTCCTGTGATCTTCTGAGGCATTTAAAAATAATGCTCTAAGTACCCTAGACTACAAATAGAGAAAAATTCTTAACTTTCAAAAAGAATATTTATATTTTGCAAACTGTTGATTGTCAGGCTAAACTTAACTTTTGAGGAGATTTGCTAGGCTAGTCAGTCAGGAAAATGGGGAAGGACTTTAATATCTAAATATTAGTAAGTTTCTTATGCAGTCCTAGTGAACAAAAGTATGAAATATACGGGGGACAAAGGCATTAGAGAAATAATTGGCCACACCACATATATCAATGTATGGATTGATATCCACTTGGAGGATAGGACTATGGTAGAATGTCAAGGGGTACTATCTGTATCTTTATTCTGCTCAACATTTATTGCTATGAAAATATTGAAGCATATTTTCACATTTGTATATGACATAAGGTCATATTTAAAGTATTTTAAAACGCTGGAATAGTGGGGCTGAATTCAAAGTGAAATTCAAAAGGAATAAATACTATGATCTTACAGTAAAAACTTCTGCATCAGGAGAGGATTTGGAGGAGCCAAACTCAGCCATACAACATGTATTTAATATTTTTTAACAGTGAGTTTTCAAAGAAAATTTTAAAAACTAATGTAATTTAATTGTGTGTAATTGAAATTTAGTTTCCAAAAAAGAAAAAAGATGAGAAGAGGTAGCCCCAGTCTAACTTAAATTTATATCATATAATTCCTTTTAGTTCTGCATATCATACTTCTAAAAGGTTGTATTCAAATTGGGACATATTGAAAGGACAGTGAATGCAGAGTTGTAGAACAGTTGAAGGCACTTGAAATAAATTGCATATTTGGAAGATTGTTTTATGGAACTTCATACTCCTGATCTTGAGTGACTCTCCCACCTCAGCCTTCCAAGTAGCTGGGACTACTGGCTTGCACCACCAAGGCTAGCTAAATTTTTATTTATCTTTGTGGAGATGGGATCTTGCTGTGTTGTCCAAGCTGGTCTCCAACTCCTGGCCTCAAGTGATCCTCCTGCCTCACCCTCCCAAAGTGCTGGGATTACAGGAGTGAGTTACTGTGCCTGGCCCTAAATCCCATATTTTAAATATCCATCTGTTACTTTGTGAAACCTAATTTTTCCAAATTGAAGAATCCATTGTATGAATCCACCATGTTTTTCCTATCTACTCTCCCAGTAATTGGTAGATAATAGTTTATGCATATATTTAAGTCCTGCCGATTTGTTCGTCAGAATGTTGGTGACAGGCTACAGTCCTACCAGCAATGCACAGAGATCCTGACATCCCCATTTCCCCCTAAATACTTAACATTTTCTAGTTTCTAATTTTTTACTCTTTGAATAAATGATACCTCATTTCTAATTTGCATTTGTCATAAATTTGTTAACTTTTGGAATTACCTTTTCATTAAATTGCCTATTTATTAGTCTTTTTTTCCATTGAAGTTCATCTGTTTTTCTTGTTAATTTTGAGGGATGTGTCATATTAATAATTTAAAATATTAATCCTGAAAAGCTTTTGGGTAGAACACATTTCTTTCTTCTGTAATGTGAATACTAATATTGTCTTTAGCTAAACAATATCCCGAATTTTCATGTAATCCAATTCATCAATTTTTGCCTTGTGGTTTGTACTGTTTTCTTTAAGAATTCCTTTACTTCCTCTTTAGTCAAAGATTTACTCTATGTTTTTTTCCGCCATTAACTTTGTAATTTTACCTTTCACATTTTGGTATTTTATCTGTGTAGATAAAGTTACAGAGCTTAACATTATATATGATGTGAGGCAAAGATCCAATATCCATTTTCATTTATTTCTTAAAGTGAGCCGCTTTTTCTAGTGGCATGTACTTGAGGAGTCCAGATCCTGGTTAAAAACCTATTGTGATTTTTTTTCAGCCTGACCATAAGTATTTCAAAAGGCTTTATTTAGCAAGCTTCACAGGGAAAAACTACTCTCCCCGCACCAGACTTGGTGCACAGCCAATACATTGTAGTCTTTGAAGGAATTTGCCGTCCAAGTACTCTGGACTTCCTGGCTAGCTATGCTCTTCATGTATTTCCATTACTAGCCCAGGCACCTTTTCCCCTAGTTCTCTTTATCTGAGGCCTTTGGCAGAGGTCTTTATCAGGCAACTCTGTCAAACCTCCTTATTGGAAGAAGGAGGGGAAAACCTTAGAGACACTTTTCCCCCTTCTCACTCACTGTTCAGTACTTTCTACTCCTAGCCCTCTCCCCTTTCTTCCTCGTCTACTCCAGGCTCTATAAAACTGCCAGAGCCTTTATTTGGGACTCCAACAGCAGTGAGTTGACCCCATTTTTCTGCTGATCTATCCACCTGACCCTCGACTTGTGTGCTGTTCCATAGGGAAATTAGAACAGGAAGAAATTAGTGCTTTCTCAAGTTTTAGCTTCTCTGTTGTTCTATAGCAGTTAATGATTACAGACTTTCTCATTACTTTCATTTTGGTTTATTATTACCTAATTTTTTACTCTGACACCTGACACTTGAGTGCTCATGGAACTCTCTCTAACTGTTGAGCTCCTGCTAATACTTAAGCAGTGGTTCTCAAAGTATGCTTTTTGGACCAGCAGGCTTCAGTATCAGCATCATCTGGGAGCATGTTAGACATGCAAATTCTGTGGTACTTCCCCAGACCTACTGTATCAAAAACTCTGCATGTGGACCCATCAGTCTGTTTCAGCAATCCCACCAGGTGATTGTGATGCATACTTAAGTTTGAAAACTACTCAACTAACAGTGTACCTTTCACACAATGTTCATCCTGTTTCTGTATCATATATCGTGTTGCTGTATGTACGTGGGCCTCTGAGCTTTCTATTCTGCTCCTGTAGTCTGTTTATTCTTGCATAAATACCATAGTATTTTATTACTATCTTTTATTATAATGTGGTATATCTTAATATGTGATATCACTAGTCTCTTCTCTCAACACTAAATATGTCACTTCACACTTTTTTGCTTACATGGTTTCTAAAGAGAAATCCACTATAATTCTGAACCTCTTCTATGAGTTAGATACTTTGGATCTCTGGCTGTTTTCAAAATTTCCTCCTTTTCTTTGGTTTTGTGTAGTTTGAATATAATACATATACTTTAGGTGTACATTATTTGATATTTATGCTGCGGTAGTGTTCCCTGAGCTTCCTGAATCTGTGGTTCAATGTTTGTCATTAATTTTAGAAAATTTGTGGCTATTGAAAGCTATTACTTGAAATAGTTCTGCTTCATTCTTCTTTTCCTTTTGATTTTTCAGTGTGTTACACCTTTTGCAATTGTCTAACGGTTCTTGGCTATTTTTGTTTGATTTTTTGCCCTTTATTTTTTCCTAAATCTCAAAATTTTGCACTAGATTTAGGAAGTTTTTATTGATCTATGTTCATGTTTGTAATTTTTGCCTTAGTCATGTTGAATCTACTGATGAGCCCATCAAAGGCATTCTTCTTTTCTGTTTTGATTTCTAGCATTTTCCTTTGATTCTTTCTTTGAGCTTCTGCCTATATATTATCCATCCATTCTTGCATATTGTCTGCTTTTTCCATTAGATTCCTAATTATATTAATTGTTATTTTTAAATTCTTACTCTGATAATTTCAAAAATGTTTGTCATATCCGAAACTAGTTCTGATGCTTTCTTTGCTCCTTCAGACATTTTAGCCTTTTAGCATGTCTTATAACTTTTTATGATGTACTATATAATAGCAACTGAGTTTAACAGAATTTTGTGGGACTTTTAATGTAAATTTGGCTAAGAAGTAGGCTATGTTTAATATTTTCTCTTGCTGTAAGTTGCCAGAGGGTTCAAGTTCCTTAAGTATTCCTGTTTTTGTCTCCCCTATTGTCTTTGGCTTCCCTAAGAACTCCTCCTTATACAGAGACTTACAGCTCTTTCAGCTATTATTTATTGTGAATATACCACAGCCCTCTTGTTTTGATGGCAAGGGGTTGGGGAAAGAAGCATTCCATAACATTATGATTAAATCTCAATGAGCCTGTGACTTTCACAAGTGTTTGCTAGCTTCCTCCCCAACCCCCACCTCCTTTATGTGAGATAAAAAGGCTAGAGCGCGCTGGAATCTTGATAATGCCCTGACCCTAGATGAGATAAGGTTCTGATAAAGTATCTTCACCTGAAGAATAGGCCTTTCCTATTAAGAATGCTCTGGGCATATTTCATAATGGTTACACTTCTCTTCCCTTCGCCAGAACCATGAGAAGAGCTTTTATGGTGCATTACAGGGAGATACTGATGGGATTCCTGGAGGGAAGACCCATGAAAGTATGAGAGCAACTAACCCCCCGACCCCACCCCTCACCACCATCGCAAAGCCTTCTGCCCCCAGGAGTTCTCACTTTCATATTTATCCTCACTCAGCTTCCAACAATTCCTCAAAATTGTCATTGAAATAATTGAAATATTTTTACCAGTTTATATCTCCAGCAACTTCTGCTGTGGATAAACAGATTTTGGCTATGATTCACTAGATTTGCATATTTCTCCAAATTTTGAAGTGGCAGTTTGGCTGTGACAGTTCAGATGGATATAAGGAGACATCATTGATCTTTAGTTTGTTCCGTTTTTTTCTTGTTGTAAGGATAGGAGGAGTAATGACTTCCATGCTTTTTATGTGTCAGAGCTGAAACTAGAAAATATATCTAAATATATGTTTTCATTATCTACTTTAGCAGTTTTTGAAAGTTTATTTCAAACTTTAAGCCTTTTCTTAGATTAAAAGCTTTTTTGGAAGGCCTTTCTTACAAATAAGACCAGTAAAGGCATAAAGTAGGGATGAGGATGTCTAGTACTCTGCTGGAGGGACTTTGAAAATTATTGGTACTAAGTATAAACTAATCAGAACCAGAGCTGAACACTTCTGAATACAATTGTTATTTATCAAGCAATCTGTCTTTTATTGATATAAGTACTTAATATTCTCTTTTTCACTACACATAGTACTCAGTCATCATTATTCACAGTGTTCACTGTGTGCCCTCATATACTTCATAGAAATATAGTTTATTTTGGGGGCAGGGAGTATATTGTATAATAGATATTTTATATGAGTGTAGAAAACAAAATATTCTGCATGAAATTCCCCTTTTTGGCCACGCGTAGTGGCTCATGCCTGTAATCCCAGTGCTTTGGGAGGCCGAGGCGGGCAGACCACCTGAGGTTGGGAGTTTGAGACCAGCCTGACCGACAAGGAGAAACACCGTCTCTACTAAAAATACAAAATTAGCCAGGCTTGGTGGTGCATGCTTGTAATCCAGCTATTTGGGAGGCTGAGGCAGGAGAATCGCTTGAACCCAGGAGGCGGAGGTTGCAGTGAGCTGAGATTGCACCATTGCACTCCAGCCTGGGCAACAAGAGTGAAACTCCGTCTCTCCCCAAAAAAAAAAAAAAAAAAAAAAAAGAAAGAAAAATATCTTTTCATCTAGGGAATGTGTGTTTCTTGCATATGGAAGAGTAAGGCATCGTTTTTTAATTTTCTACATTTTTTCTTTAGATGTATGTGTATCTTTTACGGAAATATATCAAAAGAGTTTGATGTGATTACTTCATTTCCTATCTAAAATATATTTAAAATATGATAATCTTTCTCAATATGTTACTTATCAAATCTGCATTTCATCATAATTATAAGGTTTTTGTGAGTGAACAGATGGGCTTTTCTTAGGTCTTCTAACAACTTAAAACTCTCAGCTTAATTTTGAGGAGTGGGCAGGGAGTCTAATGTCTATATAAATTTTTTTTTATTGACCTTCCAATTTCTGTCATGTTATACATGCTTCTGACCTGTTTTGCCACTAAACCAGTAATTTAGTCCATTACTGGTCTGTGTAAATCTTAGCCACAGCTATTTCCCAAGGTGGTTTTGGGTCTAACTAGTGGTTGGTGTTGATGTCCAGCAGGAAATCGTGCAAACCAGATGATTGGTGTGGTTCAAACTGTAACCTTGTTAAAGGATTGGTCAGGTTGCACTTAGGGGAGTTATTTAATTAGTTTCCCAATAATGTTTGTGCACAATTTTTAGGTGACCACTGATTTTTTCTTTCATCATGATTCAGAAAAAGACAGTTACTTGTTTTTATCACAGTCAAGTTTTAATCCAGTATTCTTTCTACTTTATATTTAGGCAGACATTTTGATAACCAGTAGTACTGCTCTTGAACAAGAGTATCTGTAATGATATTATGAAGTTAATTTGAGGGCTTTCAATGTACCAGGCAACATACTAGAAAGGATTTTTTTAATATAAAACATTCTTTGCCTTTAATAAGCTAGTAACATTATCATGGGAAACATATAAAATGAATTATAATATATAATAAACAATACATTCGTGATGGAAACATGCTCTGGGATTACAGATAACAGACCAGTCAATTCTTGACTTTTTAGGGAAGAATTCACAAAAGAATTGACATTTAAAAGGGCCTTGAAAGACTGGCTTTTGACTAGCAGAGAAAGTAAGGGTATTATACATAGAAATAGTATGAGTTAAAAATTAAGTTCCTTAAATGCATGTGTATTTTTTCTTCAGGTAGATTGAAATATTACTCATGTAAAGTAAGATGCACACATTGTAGATGTGCCACTCTATGAATTTTGACAGACTTACACAATTTTGTAATTACAAATCAAGATTAAAAAAAAATTTAATCGCATCCCAAAAAAACTCTCTGATGCTCTCTTGTAGTCAATCTGTAATGTATTTTTAAGAACTATCAAGTAGAATCTTTAGTGGAAATTATTTTGACCTTTTGTGATTTTGAGTCACTTCATTCTGTATGGTACATTTCATCAGGAATTTTTTTTTCTAGCCTTCTAAATGTGGCTTATTTTGTTGGGTGTCTTAGTACAGTAATTTAGGGAAGACTATTATAAGTGTTAACTTTTAATACTATTACAAATATTTATTTTCATTTTATGTTACAATAGCTATTTCTAATAAGTGGGAAATGTATGATTAAAATAATCTTAAATAGAAAACTTAGTTTATGATTTTTATAAAGGTCAAGGCATCCCCCAAAAATCAAAATGATAGTTTTTAAAAGGAAAGGATGGAATAGAACAAGGGAGAAAATGCTTAAAATAAGTGTTTTGACTTACAAACTTCAAGGTAATATTACCTTAGATGTAGGATTTACTCTCTATTGTCAGAATAATTCTTAGCACATTCTTGTATGATTTCCAAAATCAGATATATTCACTGCCCTAAAGGAGTTCACACTCTGGAATGGAAATCTTATTACTAACATTATATTTATTGACACACAACATTATTGGAAAAAGTAGACATTACATTGAATTTGTTATGAAGAAATTACATACTGTATATATTAGAATAAACCTAAGAAATTATGTATAGATTCCATTAAATTTTTGTATATGAAAATGTTAGCATTCACTATTTAAAGGATAGTGACCTTCATTACAGAATTGATAATCCATTTGTGAATTTTTCCATAAACATGTATTAGCCTAAAAATTATTCCACACTTCTCTGTTTCCATATGTAGTTACTTTTCCTGGAGAAATATTTCTAGACATCTTTATGTCATACTCACTGTTACCCAGTGAAGGAAAGTTCCTTATGTAATTTGTGAGTTTAGATAAAATAAATAAACTTGGCTGCTTCAGTTCCTTCTCCCCATGCTTTTCTTGGGGTCTGCTTACCTGCAGAGACTACATTTTTGACTACTTGTCTTCGTATTAGTTTATATAGAGAAATGCTCTGCCCATGGCATGAATGGCCTGTACTTGCTCAGTATTGCCATTGACTTAGGCTTGTAAGTGTGTCTACTTCAGCACAAAATTTTATGTAGAATATTTAAAAACTTTGCAAGTATGACATTTTTAATCTCTCTTCATTGTTGAGTCTTAATTATTACATTGTGTTCAGAGAATTATATATCACACACACACATATGATATTAATTCTTTGAAATGTGATAATGTCCTACTATTGGGTGAGTTTCCATAAATGTTTCACATATGTTTGAAAAGAATGTATATTCTCCAACTGTTGGTTTTAGTGTTTCCTATGTATCTATTAATCAAGCCTGTTAAATTCACATTTTGTTAACATACTGATTTTCCATTGCTTGATCCATTGATTATTGAGAGAAGCATGTTAAAATGCACTGCTACAATAATAGGTCTGTTAGTTTTTCCTTCTGTTTCTCTTACTGCTTGCTTTATGGAATATGAAGTTATGTTATTAGGTACAAACAAAACTGTTCTGTCTTCCTGTTGTTATTTTGTAGTGATGTCTACTTTTGCCTAAAGTCTATTGTAGATATTAATATAACTATTTCAGTTTTATATTGGTTACAGTTTTCCTAATACCTATTTTTCCATTCATTAATTTTCAGTTTTTCTGGGTTTAGATATATCTCTTATAAGCAGGTTCTAGCTAGATTTTTGTTCTTCGCAGCATCCTTGAATGGAAAGTGCAGAAAGTTCCCATATACCTCCTGTCCCCCAAAGTGACCTCTCTGCCATTGTGAATTCCCTGTACCTTTGTTACATTCCATGAATCTACGTTAATAAATCATTATCACCATAATTTGCATTGGGGTTCAGTCTTGGTGGTGTACATTCTAAGAGTTCTGACAAATGTGTAATGACATATATCCAATAATGTAATATGATACAAAATAGTTTCACTGCTCTAAAATTTCTCAGTGTTCCACCTAGTCATCCTTCTCTCCCCTCAATCCCTGACACTGATCTTTTTACTGTCTCTATAGTTTTGCCTTTTCCAGAAGGTCGTATATTTGGAACCATACAATATGCTGCAACTTTTTAATACTGACTTCTTTAACTTAGTAATATGCGTTTAGGTTTTCTCTGTGGCTTGATAGATGATTTCTTTTTTTCTTTTTTAAATTAAATTTAATTTAATTTTAAGTTCCAAGATACATGTGCAGGATGTGCAGGTTTGTTACATAGGTAAACATGTGCCATGGTGGTTTTCTGCAGATGAGTTCTTTTTAGCGCTGAATAATAGTTCATTCTTTGGATGTACCACAGTTTATTTATCCATTTACATACTAAAGGACATTGCTATGGTTTGGCTCTGTGTCCCCACCCAAATCTCATCTCGAATTGTAATTCTCATATGTTGAGGGAGGGACCTGATCACCTCCTGTCTAGGGAGGGAAGTGTTTGGTTTATGAGGGCAGTTTCCCCATGCTGTTCTCGTGATAGTGAATTCTCATGAGATCTGATGGTTATATAAATGGTAGTTTTTCCTGCATGCTCACACTCTTTCTCTAGCCTGCTGCCACGTAAGACTTGCTTGCTTCCCCTTCCACCATGACTGTAAGTTTTCTGAGGCCTCCCAAGCCATGTGGAACTGTGAATCAATTAAACCTTGGTTTGTAAATTTCTCAGTCTCAGGTATTTCTTTATAGCAGTGTAAAAACAAAGTAATACTGACATCGTGGTTGCTGCCAAGTTTTGGCAATAGATAAAATGGATGTAAACATCCATGTGCATGTTTTTTGTGGACATGAGTTTTCAACTTATTTGGGTAAATACCACAGAAGTGTGATTTCTGGATTGTATGTTGAAACCACATTTAGTTCTGTAAGAAACTGTTAAACTCTCTTCCAAAGTGTCTGTACCATTTTGGTTATGCACCAGCAATAAATGAGAATTGCTCTTGCTCCACATTCTCAAAAGCCTTTGGTGATTTCAAATGCTGGATTTTGGCCATTCTGACAGGTATGTAATAGTATCTCGTTTTAATTCACATTTCCCTGATATGGGAAATGTGATGTGAAACATCTTTTCATATGCTTATTGCCATCTCTGTATCTTCTTTGGTGAGCTGCTAAAGTCTTTTACCCATTTTTTTTTAAGTCAGGCCTTTTTTTGTTGTTGAGTTTTAAGAGTTTTCTGCATGCTTTGGAAAATAGTCCTTTATCTGATACATCAATCTTACGTATTTTATCCCAGTCTGTGGCTTGTCTTTTCATTCTCCTGACACTATCTTTCATGGTGCAGATGTTTTTAATTTTAATGAAGTTCAGCTTATCCCATTTTTGTGTGTGTGTGCGAATTGTGCCTTTGGTGTTATATTTAAAAGTCATTGCTGTACTTAAGATCATCTAGATTGCTTTCATATATTATCTTCTAGCAGTTTTATAGTTTTTTGTGTTTTATGTTTAGGTCTTATTTTGAATTAATTTTCATGAAAGTTATATGGTCTGTGTCTAGATATAGTTTTTTGCGTGTGGATGTTCAGATGTTCTAGCACCAATTTTTTAAAAAGACTATCTTTTCTCCATTTTATTCCTTTGCCACTTTTCAAATATCAGTTGACTATATGCAGTTCTATTTTCTCTCTGTTCTGTTCCATTTATCTATTTGTTGATTCATGTGCCAGTATCATAGTTTTGATTACTATAGCTTTATAGTAAGTACTGAAGCCAGGTAATGTCAGTCCTCCAACTTTGTCCTTCTCTTTCAGTATTGTATTGGCTATTCTGAGTGTTTGTCTCTCCCTGTAATCTTTAGAATCAGTTTGTTGATATCCATAAAATATCTTGGTAGAATGTTAATTGAAATTTCATTGAAACTCTAGACCAAGATGAGAAGAACTGACATCTTGACAATATTGGATCTTCTGATTCATGATCTCAGAATATTTCTCTATTTAGTAATGATTTCATTCATCAGAGCTTTGTAGATTTTCTCATATAGATCTTATGCATATTTTGGTAGATTGGTAATTACTATTTCCTTTGTTGGAGACTAGTGTAAATAGTAATGTGTTTTTAATTTCAAATTCCACTTGTTTTTTGCTAGTGTAAAGGAAAAAGATTGACTGTTCTATATAAATCTTGCGCTGTGCACCCTTACTATAATTCCGTATTACTTCCAGGAGTTTTTGTTGATTCTTTGGGATTTTTTATATAGACAGTCATGTCTTTTGTGAACAAAAGATGGTTTTATTTCTTTCTTCCCAAGTTGGAACATCCTTTCCTTGTTATTGGTCTTAACAGGAAAGCATCAAGTCACCATTAAGTATGTTAGCTGTAGATTTTTTGTAGATGTTCTTTATCAAATTGAGGACATTTCTCTTGTTTTATAGTTCGATAATTTTTTTTAAAAAAATCATGAATACCGATTTTGTCAAATGCTTTATCTGCATCTATTGATATGATCATGTGATTTTTTTTTCCTCTTTAGCTGTCCATGTGATTGATTACATTAGTTGATTTTTGAATGTTGAGCTATCCTTGCATACCTAGGAGAAAAACCCAGTTCATTGTGACATATTATTCTCTTTATACATTGTTGGATTTCATTGCTAATCCAATTAATTTGCTAATTTTTGAATTTATGTTCATACTGTTCTGCAGTTTTCTTATTAGGCCTTAGGCCTTGGTCTGGTTTTTTTTTTTTTTTTTTTTTTTTTGATTGGGGGGTGGGTAATGCTGGCCTCTTAGAATACATTAGAAAGTATTCCCTCTGCTTCTATCTTCTGGACAAAATTATATTGAATTAGTATAATTTTTCCTTAAATATTTGATAGAATTCACCAAACCCATCTGAAGTTGGTGCTTTATGTTTTTGAAGGTTGTTAATGTTTTGATTAAATTTCTTTAATAAGTATAGGCCTGTCCATGTTATCTATTTCTTCTTTGTGAATTTTGGCAGATTTGTGCATTTTTAAAAATTGGTCCATTTTGTTTCAGTTAAAAAACTTGTAGACATAGATTTGTTCATAGTACTATTTTATTTTCCTTTTAATTTCCCTGGGATATGCAATGATATCCTCTCTTTTACTTCCAACATTAGCAATTTGTGCCGTCTCTCTTTTCCTTGGTTAGCCTGGCTAGAGACTTACTGATTTTTATTGATCAAATAAAAACCAAATAACCAGCTTTTGGTTTTGTTGATTTTTTTTCCTCTATTTTCTGTTTTCAATTTCATTGATTTCTGCTCTTATTTGTATATTTATTTTGTTTTGCTTACTTTAATTTGCTCCTCTTTTTCTCCTAAAATGAAAGCTAAGATTATTGATTTAGTATTTTTCTAATGCTAAAAATATATTCTGGGCACTGCTTTTAGTACCTCCCACAAATTTTGATAAATTGCGTTTTTTTTTTCTTTTAGTTCAGAGTGTTTTTACATTTCTCTTGAGACATGTTTTTTATCCCATGAGTTATTTAGAAGTGTGTTGTTATCCAGGTATCTTGGGATTTTTCAGCTATCCTACATCTATAACTATCCTAATTTCTACTTGAATTCCTTTATGGTGGGAGAGTGAGTATTCTGTGATTTCTATTCTTTTAAATTTTTGAAGGTTTGTTTTATGGCTTAGAATGTGGTCTATGCTAGTGAATGTTCCATTTGAGTTTGAGAAAGAATGTTTATTGTGCTGTTGTTGGATGAAGTCTACAGATAGCCAGTATATGCAGTTGATGACAGTTTTGTTCAGTTCAGCTGAGGTTCTTATGATTTGTGGCCATCTGGTTCTGTTCATTTCTGATAGAGGTGTATTGAAGTTTCCAACTATAATAGTGGACTTATCTTTTCTCCTTGCAGTTCTATCAGCTTTTTCTCCCATATTGATACTTTGGTTGTGGGTGAGTTTGCATCCAAATTGTTATGTCTTTTTGGGGAAATTGACCCCTTTATCATTATGTAATGTTCCTTTTTATCCCTGATAATTTATTTTGTTCTGAGGTTTCCTGTGTCTGAAATATAGCTAGTCTGTCTTTCTTTTAGTGTTAACATAGTATATCTTTCTCCAACCCTTAATTTTAATCTACACATCTTTACATTAAATTTTTTATTTTGGACAACATATAATTCAGCCTTTTTTGCTCCACTCTGACAATCTCTGTCTTTTAATTGTTGTATTTAGATCACTGATGTTTAAAGTGATTATTGATCTATTTAGCATAGTGTCTACCATAACTATTCTTGTTTTCTGTTTGTTACCCTTTTTTTCCTAATTTTGTCTTCCACAATTTTCTGCCTTTTGTGGTGGTTTTATCTGACCATTTTATATGATTCTTTTTTTCTTTTTCATCAAACTTATCAAATCTTTCTCTTTTTAAATTTCTTTTTATGGTTGCCTTAAAGTTTGTACTGTACATTTACAACTAATCCAATTTAACTTTCAGAGGATAGTATGCCATTTCACAGATAGTGTTAATCCTTATAATAACATAATGATTCAAATTCTTCCATTCTGTCCCTTGTATCTTTGTTGTCATTCATTTCACTTATACTCAGCAGATATTAATATATGCATAAGTGTACATATCAAATATATTGTTGCTATTATTTTAAGCAAACTACTAGATCAATTAAGAATAACAAAAATAAAACTTTTAAAATTTTACCTACACTTATTACTTCTCTAGTGCCCTCTTTTATGTGGATCTGTATAACTTGCATCATTTTCCTTGTCTCTGAAGAACTCTTTTAACATGTCTTGTTGAGCAGATTTTCTAGCAACAGATTATCTCATTTTATCTGATCAAGTCTGTATTTATCCTTCACTTTTCAGGGACAATTTTGCAGGGTACACAATTCCAGATTTTTTTTTTATTATTATCTCATACTATGTATCTCAGCATAGAAATCTAACATGTTCTGTAGAAAAACATGGTAATGCATACTTTTAGGAATTCATGTGTACTCTCCTCCAATCTTGTAGTTTAAAATGCCCATCGCCTTATTAAAGATTTTATATTAAAATTGTACAGCTGCTGTTAATCTTCTTTGATCCCAGAAATCTTTTTTTTTTGAGACAGAGTCTCGCTCTGTCTCCCAGGCTGGAATGCAGTGGTGCAGTCTCTTTTCCTTGTAGGTCACTCCTAATACTTGTAATGCCATTTTCTACAAAGTTGTTCTATACTTCATGTTTTAGATTGTTATTAAAACAATATTTAATTAAAAAAATAAAATTCCATCCATGATTTATCAGTAAAAGTGTCCTTTTTTTGTGGGCCTTTTCAATATTTATTCACGTGTACATTATTTTGCATAGTTACAATGATGATAATGGTTTCAATAATTTTATATTTTTTCTTCAAATAACATTTTATAAACATATATCTAGCTTGAGGCATAGTTTTTATTTAATTGTACCATACTCCCTTGTTGTACATTTAAAATATTTTGGGTTTTGCACTTTCTAAAGAATGTTGCCTTATATATCTTCATGCATATTGTTTTTATTCCTTTGTATTACATGAAGTGCCCTGCTTTTACAAATAATCCATTGTTAAATATATAAGGCTGATTAATAACCTTTCGTGATATAAGAGTTTTTATTTCCAAGAGAGCTAAACATTTTGACATTGATAATTCTACCTTACCTTTACAGCTAGATTCTTCAATTATGTTATTTCAATATTATGTACTGGTCTTTGAATAGAATTCATTTAGACCATCCTGTGTCCAATAAATATCTAGCTAAGGATGACAATTCATATCTTTTTAAATGTTTAATGTTTTCATTTTATCACACTTGCATTCAGCTTATGAATCCTGTGCCTCTTATCACTGGTTTCAACACTTTTCATTTTCCTTTTTTTTTAACAAAATAATTTGGGTAAAATTCAATGTTCTGTCATAGAAACGGAATACAAATGATAAGAACTATGCACCTGAAACTGGTTTTGTGTCTGGTAGATTCTCACTCTGCAATAAAGTATTCTTTTGTCAACTGATTTTTTTAAAGGTCTGATTCTAACTGTATTAGGCACATTACCATATAATTTATGAAAGTGGAGTTTATAAAATAGACATGCATGAAAAATTGAGGACTAAATACGTAGTATTTTCTGATGATACATTTTTAGGAATAGGAATTGTAGAGTGTAAGGATGTTTATGACACTTAAGCATCAAATTGTTTCCTCAAAAGTACTATGTTAATTGTGCTACAGTTTGCAAGTGTGCATTAATCTGTTTCTTTCTTTTCTCTGCTGCTATGGTATGGATGTTTGTGTCTCCTCCAAAATTCCTACTGCAACTTCAGCATCTTTGTAATGTCCATATCTCCGGTAGTAAGAGGTGGGCCCTTTGAGAGTTGATTAGGTCATGAGGGCTCCACCATATAAATGGGACTAGTACTTTACAAAAGGGCTTGAGGGGCAAGTTTGGCTCTTCTACCATGTGAGAACATGGCCTTTGTCTGCTCAAGAGGACATAGCATTCATGGACCATCTTTGAAGCAGAGAACAGGTCCTCACCAGATACAGAACCTAACCTGCTGGTGTCTTGATCTTAGACTTTCTAGCTTCCAAAACTGTGGGAATTTTTTATTATGTATAAATCATCCAGTCTGTGGTATTTTGTTACAGCAGCACAAATGGACTAAGATACTTGCTAAAATAATTATCTTATATACATGCATTATTTATTTCAAATGCCCATTTGAAGGCAACTGTTAGGTTGAAATAAGTTTATGGATGCTCCCTGACTTAATGACAGTTTGACTTAGGATTTTTCAACTTTCTGATGTGAGAAAGCTGTATGCATTCAGTAGAAACCATAACCCTGTCATGAGTTGAGAGACTTACAACTTAGGATGCATTTTCAATTTATGATATTTTTGACATAGAATGGATTTATCATGGCATAACCCCATCTTAAGTTGAGGAGCATCTGTACTAAGTTGTACATAGGCACTCATAGGGAATAATAGAATTGGGATACATTTTCAAAAGCTATTTCACTTGAAAATGGTTGAAACAGAAATAATCCTCTGCTTAAATTGAGGATTGTCACAATCTTTGGCATTTAATAAAACATACACTATCCAAATATAGAGACATCATATGAAAATATAAACCAGGCCTGCCTTTTTAATGCTGATGCATCTCCCAATTTTTGTGTCATTCCTAATCACTCCCTTAAGTCAAAGTCCTACTTAAATAGGAAGAACAACTTATTTGCTAATTTTTTTCTCATGCCTATCAGTAATATGGCTATTTGGTTGAAGTAAATCTGCTATTATAGTTTTATGTTTTATTCATAGTAAGAAGCTTATTGCTATTATTTTGGGCTTGTGGTAACTTCTTTAAGTAGATTTAATCTCACAGTTTATCTATGTTAGGTTTTGTTTCCAAATATTATTTAATCTGTTGGCCCATAAATGGGTGAAATGTCCGTGAATCATTTTATTTTAAGAAGTTTATTAAATTTATTTAGTGTCTTTTAAGTCATGTTAAGTGGAGGCGTATTTACGAGTGTGTTTAAGACAATCTTACCAGATCACTTGATCTTACTCAATGTTTAAGCTTTATAGAAGGTAAAATAAGATGCTCATGAGTTTCTGTTACAGAATATATACTAACCCCCTCCACACACAATACACAAAATAATGTGAAGTTTGTGGATGTATGGTCAGTGGAAGTTTATACCTGAACATGAGCCACCATGATTGCTTAGTCTAAAATGTAATGTACAGAAAACTGCCATGTGTGATTGTGATTAAATTTGTCTACAATATCTTTTGTGACTCACATTCCAGGAAAGAAGAGGTTTTTTTTTTCTTTCTTTTTTCTTTTTTTTTTTTTTTAACAGGAATCAAGTAAAAACCACAGAACCTCTATATTTATATTTGAGTCTGAATCAAACATTTTCACTTGGAAGAATTTTTTCCAAAGGAGGGGAAAACAACTGTTTCTGAGTGCCTTTATTTTAGGTTAATTTTTTCAAAAGATTATCTCTGACACCTTTGCATTAAGTATCTAATGTATTAGTGGGACTCCATGGTTTGCATTTATTTCTTCAATTTGCTAAAAAAAAAAAAAGTCTACTAAAATTTCAATTTTTGAAAAGCAATTAATAGAATATCTTAGATAAGCAAAATGTAATAAACTCTTCACTATTTTTGGATGAGGTCTACTGGTATAGATTTCAGTTAATTTTCCTAATGCCTTTTTAAATTCTGGAAAGCCATCTTGTTAACCAGAGCAATCAGGGTAAATGACCACATGTAACCTATGTTACCGTGAAAACAAAGCAATATTAACTTTTCCTTAACTAGTGGCTTTGTTTATAAGTAGGAATAATAGTGAAGCTGTATGGCCTGTTTTGTTTCTCCCATATTGCCTCACTAGGTATGATGGTAAGTAATTATTGCCTAATTACAGAGCCCTGCTGTGAAATGAACACAGCCTGCATGTGTCCTATGCCTTTAACCCAGTTCGTATACAAACCAATTAGTATACCAGTCTAAAGCTAGAGTTAATGATTGCACAACTCTTAATTTTAGATTGATCATTGACCTATATGTAAAAGCTCTTAGAAGAAAATACAGTAGAAGATCTTCTTGACCTGGATGTAGGCAATAATTTTGTGGTACACACAAAGCAATAGTCATAAAAGAAAAATCGATAAATTAGGGTTTATCTGATTGAAAACTTGAAAACTTCTGCTACTTGAAAGACATCATTAAGAAAGTGAAAAGGCAAGCCACAAACTGGGAAAAACATTCATGAAACATATATCTGACAAAGAGTTTATATCCAGAGTATATAAATCAGTAATAAAAAAAGAGAACTAAAAATATATGAACAGCAGGCTTAAAAGAAAAAATTTAGAGGCTGGGAGCAGTGGCTCACGCCTGTAATCCTAGCACTTTGGGAGGCCGAGGTGGGCGGATTGCCTGAGCTCAGGAGTTCAAGACCAGCCTGGGCAACACGGTGAAACCCTGTCTCTACTAAAATACAAAAATTAGCCAGGCGTGGTGGTGTGCACCTGTAATCCCAGCTACTCAGGAGGCTGAGACAGGAGAATAATTTGAATCCGGGAGGTGGAGGTTGCAGTGAGCCAAGATCGTGCCACTGCTCTCCAGCCTGGGTGACAGAGCAAGACTCCATCTCAAAAAAAAAAAAAAAAAAAAAAAAAAAGAAAAGAAAAAGAAAGAACTTAGAAAATATAAGAATGGCCAATAAGCACATGATAAAATACTTAACATTTTTAGTCATTATGGAAATTCAGTTTAAAACCATAATGAGAGAGAGACTTTTGTACATCCAGTAAAATAGCTAAAATTTAACAGACTGAAATCACCAAATGGTGAGTGTGTAAATTAATAGGAACTCTCATACATTACTGGTAGTACAACCATTTTGGAAAAAGATTTGACAGTTTTTTATAAATTTAATCATACACAGTCCTACTAAGTATGCAAAAGAAATAAAAATGTATATCAAAGAATGTCTGTGATTCCTTTATTCACAGTAGCCAATAACTGGAAGCAGTTCTAAATGTCTATCTTCAGGAGAATGGGTAAACAAATTATGGTATATTTATACAGAGGAATGCTGCTTAGTAATAAAAAGGAATTTACTGATACATACAACTAACTTGTATGGATGAGTATTACAGATTTTTTGGCAGAGCGATGAAGCCTGTGTGTATGTATACATATATATATATATATCTCATATGTGTATATATATCTCTCTCTCATATGTGTATATATATATATCTCATATATATCTCATGTGTATATATATATCTCTCTCATATATATATCTCATATATATCATATATCTCATATATATATCTCATATATATATGTATATGTGTATGCATGTGATATATGGTCAGAGGAAAATATCAGAACACTTGTTGCTTTGGGGAAAGGGAATTTTTTGGGTAATGAAAATATTCTATGTCATGATAAAGATGTGTATCACACAGCTAAGTGCATAGCTAAGATTGTTCAAGCTTGTATAGCTAAGATTTGTGTATTTTCATATATGTAAAATCTACCTAAAGAAAAAGACTTTTAAAATAATCATTATCAAGTAGGTAGTGGGTGGCATTACAGATGATAAAAGATTGGCAGAATATTGATAATTGTTGAAAGTGAGTGATAGGTGTAGAGAGTTCCATTATTCTATTTTGTTTACTATCTATATGTTCAAAGCATTCTGCAGTAAATGTTTAAGTGTGAAAAGACCAACCACAAACAAAAGAGGAATTACTACTGCCTGTGTATTCAGAGAACACATTGAATCCAGGAGGATGCGTTGTCATTCTCTAGGTGATAGACTGAGGAGTATTAA
Organism: Homo sapiens; assembly: GCF_000001405.40. Lineage (NCBI taxonomy): Eukaryota > Metazoa > Chordata > Mammalia > Primates > Hominidae > Homo > Homo sapiens. The sequence continues at coordinate 28,442,252 of NC_000012.12, forward strand.
GAATGAAGTGTTGAGAAAAGGCTATTTCAGGCATTCATGAAAATTCGTGACATATTTTACTTAGAACCACATTGTTATGTGTATGAAATGATGAGGAGTTTAGACGTTATACAATAGACCAGAGTTTTTGAGTCCTTGTTTGCCAAGGATTCTTTGAAGATTTGAATTCACAGTGTCATTATACATAACTCTGAAAAAAATAATACAAGGGCAATTTTCTGAAAAGGCCAATTTGCCGCTGTGAATGGCACATACTGTGTAATAAAACTGTTCTAGATTTTTAGAGTGATCTGAAAAAGATTTGTGAAGTCTGAAAGTTTCACATACCAAGAACAAAAATATACTTTCAACTTTTTGGTTTATCTTTCTTGTTCACTCAGAGGGCATGGATCTAGAATACCAAATCAAAAAATGAGTATGAACTGGGAAGATAAACTCTTGAGTGAGTATTCTATATTCTCAGTAGATAACAATGAGAAAGTATATATGTTCATTTTAGATCAGAAACAAAAGACCGTTTTTGAAATAATTGATTATATTTTACAAGGGAACAAGGTTTTAAAGTATTTTATGATCAAATGTCAAAGTATGTTTGTTTGTTTGTTTGTTTTCATGAATGAAGAGAATAAGTGCCTAACTTGTCTCAGATTTTGGTATCAGTTCTATAACTGTTTCCTATAAGAAGAAAGGCCTGTATAAAATAGTATTGAATATATGCAGGAGGCTTTTATGAGGTAACATTGTTTATGTGTCTGTATATGGATTGTATGTTATGACGGCTCACAGCTAAAAAGGTTTCTAGTATCCTGTATCTGTTAAAGTTGGAAGGAGATGGAAATAGGATGTTCTCTAATTTTTTTAAATAGAAATCTCATGGTTTGAATTTTTTTCCCAGGTCTAGTTTAATGAATTATCTGTTATGATCTAGGTCTCTAATTCTTCTCCCTTAATAGTTAATTAGGATAATCCAGAAAAGGAGTCCTAGGCAAAAAAAAAAAAAAGAGAGTTAAGCAACATTTCTTAGTCTAGGATATATTCCATTTTTCTTGTCAGAACTATAATTTGCTGCCCTCGACCTCTTTTCTAAGCTTTAAACTAATATTTCAACAGACTTCTGAACAGCATACTAAAAATTAATACTCCATTGGCATCTGTAATAAAAGCAAATAAAAGAGGCTATATAGAGCAAAGTGGTTTGTAATTTTTTATTTATTCATTCATTCATGCATGCATGAATGCCTATGTTTGTTTATTCTATAAATACACTGAGAGCCTCTAGAGGGTAAACTTCTGTAAGGTCTAATGGAAGCAACAGATGGATGGCAGGCAACAGAATGTTTGATAGTACTTAATGACAATAGAAAGAAAACCTAATATGATGAAAAAAAGAAAAATGAGACTAGCAGTAGAGCCATTAGCACTGAGACTTAGACATGTGTGGTGCCACTATTAGCATGTACTCTTGACAGTGTTTCTCAAGCTAACTGGGATGACAGAACATTTTTTAAAAATCTGTCAGGGGTTTATACTTGTACAAAATAGAATAAAAATTATTAGACAAACGAAATGGAAAATAAATACAAAGTACAACCCTGATGTTTTGTTATTAGGTCCAATAGTTATAAAAATTAATAAATGTTTATAAAACTTGCTAAACGCAAACTATAAATTTCTATACTGTGGTAACAATAGTTTGCAGAACCTGTTTACTGGTTTTTGACCATACTATTTCTATATCCCTAAACCCTTCAGTGAAGGGGAATGGTGATAGCATCATTGGTCACAGGCCTCTAGGAATAGCATAGCCCTGTTTCTATAGGGTTATTTAACAAACTGAATGATAGCACAGTAAATTCACTTAATGTGCCCCTGATGGAATTGTTGTGCTAAAGAATTTATTCGTTATAGAAGTCTGCCCATCAGCAACAAATTAAATTATATGTTATGAAACCTATTGAGGTGGAGAAGAATGGCATTCATTTACAAAAATTTTCTATCACAATTTTTAAATGCTGAAATTTGTCTTAGGGGCATAGTTACGATAATTTAGAAATTTATTTTCCACTGAACAATTCGTATTTCAATTGTGATGGGTAAGATTATATGAATGTAATATTTGTGAAAAATAATCACAAAATAAAATTTGGGCAGCCAGCTAGCCAAGAGAGATTGCATTTGGAGAATAGTACCAATATAAGTCCCGCGGAGGTACTTCCTCTGCCATTTTAAGATGGAATACTCTGCAGCCATTAAAAAGACAAGATCACGTGTTTGTGGGAACATGGATGGAGCTGGAGGCTATTACCTTTAGCAAACTAATGCAGGAATAGAACACCAAATACAACACATTCTCACTTACAAGTGAGAGCTAATTGATAAGAACTCATGAATACAAAGAAGGGAACAACAGACACTGGGGTCTACTTGAGAGTGGAGGGTAGGAGGAGGGAGAGGAGCAATAAAGATAACTCTCGGGTACTGGGCTTAGTACTTTGGTGATGAAATAATCTGTACAGCAAACCAACGTGACACAAGTTCAACTATGTAACAAACCTTCACATGTACTCCTGAACCTAAAATAAAAGTTTTTCTTAAAGATTTTTTTTTTTAAAAGCAGTTCCTTCTGCTCAATCATGGGAGGATAGAAAGATTAGAAATTTATTAAAACAATAGAAGCATTTCAGCAGAGAATATCCTGCACCAACACCTTTTCTTTTTCTTTCTCACTTCTTTATTAGCTAAACTATACCTTTTCTCCTTCTGATGTTTTGACCTAGTGTCATCTTAAAGAAATTTAAAATGTTAGTCTTAGTTATATATCAGTTTGTTTAAATCTGTTTTCAAAGGAGTGCTATCTAACACTTAGATTTATTATTGGCATGTACTGTTTTAGGAACTAATATCAAATGAGTGATAATTTAGTTGACATTTGACTATGCAATCCTCCTAACAGCATATTATGGTGGGTATTAGAATTATTTGGGATAGTTGGATAACTTGCCAAAGGTTCAGAGCTGGATTTGGTGAATTAAAACACTAATCTATCCTACCTCTTAGTCCCCCTCCCCCACAAAAAACCCCAGATCAGTAAAATGACACATATAAGGGACCGAAACAAAACCAACAAGCAAAAACTAACTAGGACAAATAACTATGAAAGGAGATAACAGGTGTACAATTATCAACTAATTTAGCAGAGAAGAGCAAGTTGTAATCTTAGCTTATTGAGGTGAAACCCATGAAGAAGCTGGTTTGTCCTGCAAAACCCTAGAAAGCTGTGGGAAATACAAGCACTAGGTGCTGTATAGCTCTGAAAACAAGAGGAATGGTTGAAAGTCTATATGACTAGCAGTTGTGTTCTCAAGTCCTCTTGTGCACTGTCTCAGTCAGCTCAGGCTGCCATTAAAAAGCACCCACCATAGACTGGCTTAAACAACAGGAATTTATATTTACAGTTCTGGAGGCTAGAAAGTCCAAGATCAAGGTTTCTGCTGAGTAGGCCTCTTCTTTTGGCTTGTAGGTAGCCACAGTCTTGGCTGTGTGCTCACACAGAGAGAATACGCGAGTGCTCTTTTCCCCATCCTCAGGACTTTGTCTAATCCCAGTTACCTCCTAAAGGCCCCATCTCCAACTGCTATCACATTGGGGATTAGGGCTTTGGCATATAAATTTGTGGGGGAGGGAGGTAAAAAATATTTATTCCTTAACACACATCATACTTAACTAGGGGATTTATTGTACATCCTAGCAGAACAAAAGAGAAATCAAAGCAGATAATCTCTGAACTCATAAAGGGCAAGAGCAAGGCATGGGACTAAAAACAAGGAGATTAAACCAAAGACCATTACTGAGCAGTGAGGTCTCCACTATGCCTCTTAACACATTGCTCCTAGAATGCTGAAAGTTTGGCTCATAGCACCACTTAAGAGACTGGAGAATTTTTTTCTAAGCAAAAAGACTGGCTCAAGAGAAAATGTTCATAGAACTAACATTTGGGAATCTCCACAACCATGAAAAATCAGTTCAATATCTTTTGTGGCTATTGTGAAGCTTACTCACATACACAGAATTTCCTTTCAGCATTTTTCTGTTTGAGGTTTTAATATAAATGAACATAAAATTGTTACCAAACAAAAACATCTCAAATGAAGAAGTTACTGACTCAAAGGAACAAATAAAAAGAAACTTCAAGGAAACAGAGACAGTTTAGAAGTAGGGAGAGCCCTCCCCTTCAAAAAACTATATTTATATAGTTTTTTGTAGTTTTAATATAAATACAGTTTTATGAAGGTGAGAGGTCCTCCTACTTCAAGTGATCCTCCCAACTTAGCCTCCCAAGTAGCTGGGACTACAGGCTCATGCCACTATGCCCAACTAATTGTTGTATTTTTTTGTAGAGACCACGGTTTTATCCTGTTGCCCGGGCTGGTCTCTAACTCCTGGACTCAAGTGATCCATCCATCTTGGCCTCCCAAAGTGCTGGGTTTACATATGTGAGCCACCTTGTGCGGCCTCAAAAAACTATAATTCTGATTTATAAGAGAGAGAAAAGAACCAAGTAACTGCAACAAAAATGTCCACTTCAGAAAGGGAGAATGATGAAATAAATAACAGTGATTGGTCAGTAGCAGATACAAAGTATTTCTGGACAAAAAGAGCAAGGATTCCTTTCTCCAAGAGTGGAACAATTTCATTGATTAGGTGCTCTGGCAGTCCATGATTGTTTTCTGTAGGGGAGTCTCCTTTGCCCGTTGTCCTGTTATTGTTAGAAAAGGTGTAATTTGGTATTTTTGCTAGAGTACAGTTTGAGAGTATGCATTAAAATATACAACTTGCTCAACCTTCAGCCTGTTAATATGGTTTCTAGGAATTTCTCATAAGGCTATAATTGTACAATTTCACAAAGATGCATGCATAAAAATAAACATTTTTTAAAGTGAAAAATTGGGAACAACATAAAAGTCTATAAAAAGGAGAATGGTAAAATATATATTAAATTTAACAAAACAAAAAGAATAATGCTATATACTATAGAGTTCCAAAAGGTTACAGAATACTACTTATATATAAATTCATTATATAAAATATTGAATAAACAGCTCTCCAGAAGGATGTTTGCCTAAGTGTTATCAGTGATTTTCTTTGGGTAATGGGACACTGGGATATTTTCACTTCTTTATATTTTTTATAATGAGCATATATCAGTCTTACAAAAATCAAAATACATTGTATTGAAACACATGGGTTTTGAATAGCCTCTTGTGAATTATTTGTTTGCTTTACAAATTATCTATGTTTAATTTTAAGATCTAAATTTTGGCTGGGCACGGCGGCTCATCCTGTAATCCCAGCACTTTGGGAAGCTAAGGTGGGAGGATCACATGAAGCCAGGAGTTCAAGTCCAGTCTGGGCAACATAGAGGATGAAGGAAGGAAGGAAGGAATGAATAAAGAAGAATGGGAAGGGCAGGGCAGGGCAGGGCAGGGCAGGGCAGGGGAGGGGAGGGGAGGGAAGGGAAGGGCAGGGCAGGGCAGGGGAGGGGAGGGGAGGGGAGGGGAGGGAGGGGAAGGGAGGGGAGGGGAGGGAAGGGGAGGGGAGGGGAGGGGAGGGGAAATTTTCCCCTTGCCATTAAGTATCTTTCTGAATCATTTGTCCTAATACCAATTGCAATTTGTTCAGGAAACATCTTATTTTAATAATAGTAGTAGTCTGAAATGACAAAATCGGAAGCATAGATTACTCTTATTCTGTTACAGCCAAATGGCAATGAGGCCTTACTTGACATACGGATTACATTATGTAGCTTTTAATTACTATAGGTAATAATGAGGTATAATGTACTGGGCTGCTTTTAGTATTAGATAATTACTACTACCGATAATGATTATATAGGGTAGGATTATTGTTGAAATAAAGACCTAGTAACTTACCTAGCCTCTCTAAGTCTCAGCTGACTCATCTGAAAATAAGAAGAATGTGGAAGAATTCGGCAGTTTGTTGTGAGAGTTTAATGTGGTACTACTACATATAAAGCACTTTCAACAGTGCCTGGAACCTCAAAAGTGCTATTATTATCTATAAGTATGAGAAAAGCCAGTAACCCAGTTGTATTTTCTCAAGTGAATCTGTGATTTTACTTAGGATATATTTTATGTAGGATGCTTCTTTCAAACAGTAAATTTCAGGTTTGTTCTTACACAAACAAGCTCAAAAATTGTCTTCTGTTGTAGGATACTGTCAGAATTAAGAAATGACATTCAGGAATGAATTTTATAAACATCACATTGTCATTTTAGCTAATGTACCCTCTTCAAATTTAGTTTTTATTGGACCACTTAGGAAATTTAGCCCACTTATAATGAATTACTTAGTGATTTCTATTAGTTTGACTTCTAACATTACCAGTTCTTTTTAAGGAACATTTGTTTTCTAAGTTATTAATAACTCCAAAAATTTTATTCTGTATTTTAATTCTAAACATTTTTGTTTTATTTGTGTTATGTTTACCTCTTCCCAAGCCTAAATTGAATATTTTTGGTCTCATACAGTTTTTAAGTCTAATTATTTGCCTGGTATAATATCTTTGTATATTTTCTCATATGTATATTTCAAATAGGGTTAGGTATTGTTTCTGATCCTATGAAATTCTGCGTGCATCTAGATTTACAGAGAATATAAAATTAAAATCTCAGTTATTAATACTTATACGTTAATTATGTGGTAAGTCTACTCATTTGTTAATTAGCTGCCTTACATAATTTCATATAGTACCCATAATTTCTCAGAGTCATGTAATGATTTGTATCACAGTTTGGATTTGTTTTTAAGGAAAAACACATCTTTCATGTGATTTTACTTACTCTCTTGAAAAACACAGATGAAAAGTAACATAATTAAAAGCAGGAATAACAGATTATCTTAAGTAGACATGGACTGTTTGGTCACTTACTCTCAATATAGACTGTCTCCCTAAAAATGTTTTAAATAAGAACAACTTTAAAAGACACAAATCTATTTTAAAATATTGGATATCCAATGAGTTTATATTTAAAGGAGGCTTGGATATAAATAGCATTCCAAATCTGAGAAAATATCTTACTTGCCTTTAATAACTGAATGAAAAATATATGAGTAGCAATACATATTTTTTAGTTTTGTTTCCACATCAGTGCACTGTTCTGGAACAGTATTTGCCTCATCGTTATTGGAGATACTGAGGCTGCAAAAGTTGAATATTCTCAGAAAGGTCTATTGAAACATCAAGTGCTTGGTCCATGGTAACTGGTTGATAGTTATGTGAGCTTTTTCTGTAGCACATCAAAATAAAAATAGATACATTAACTTTATACACATTTATATTACCTGTTACATAATATTTCTTGGACTCATTTCATAGATTTAGTTTTTGAATCTGTGGTAAAATCTTGAGGTGACAACAATTAATAAATCTTTCAATTTTTTTTAACAATGCCTTACTAGGAACACAAATAATCTATGATGATAGTTGTTCATCAAGCAGATATTTTATATTTCTCAGTTATCATCTAATTGCTTCATTGCTTCTGTTGCTGCAAGCTAATAATAATCATTTTAGTGAGTAATTTTTCGAAATTTAATCTTGGAAAATACATCATTTTCTGATTAATTTTTCAATTTTGAGTAGTTGTTCTTAAGTTAGATTTCTTGTCATATACTCTGTTGAACTTGGGGCTAAGAAATGTATCTTGGCTGATTGTAGAAAGATGAATTTAGTGTTTTTTTCTCCTGAACCTTCGTTTTAGGGAAATTCTCATTTTTTCCTTTTGTAACTACTTCAATTTTCTGGACAAATGAATTCTACCAGCTACTCTCCTTGTTGACAGATACCTGTCTCAGAGCCATAATATAATTTGCTTATCATTCCTTGTAGCATCAGAGGCTCCTTGAAATGCTAGATACAGAGAAGGAACTGTTAAAAGAAAAAATAAAGGAAGCTTTGATTCAGCAATCTCAAGAACAGAAGGTAATACTTTAACTGTGCTCAGAGTGTAGAAAGAATGTGTTCTGTTACCTCAAATAATACATTTAATGTCTTTCCAACTGTTTTATCATTTGACAGGAAATATTGGAAAAGTGTTTGGAGGAAGAAAGGCAAAGAAATAAAGAGGCATTAGTATCCGCTGCAAAGGTATTTCCATCTGTAATAGTGGGTTGCTTGTAAGTAAGTGGAATTAAAAAATGGAATATATTAATAGTATTCTCAATCTTTTATAAAATGTTTCATTCCATAAAAATCGTTTTTATTTCTTTTATTTACTTTTAAACTTAAGATATGACTACTTATATTCTTATTAAATTCACATCACACAAGATAATGGTAGCATTGAAATGCTTTACAATGTAGGTTATTAGTTACTTATTATAAAGAACATATATGTTGCAACACTAATATCCACCTGCTATTTGTTGCATCTAATTAGAGGTTGTGTGTGCATCTGTGTATCAAGGTAAGTAATTTTTAAAGCCAAGTTTAAAATAACTCATCTAAATCATGTATTCATAGATATAAAATATACACACACCAACAAATACACTTTTAACACTTACTTTTGAGTTTTAGATTTAAAATTAAATTTAGCAAACAAATATTGAATGTCTCATATCTGTGTATCACTATGCCAGGGTTAAATTCAAGGGTGACTATGATTTTGTCTTTTTCTTAAATAATTTATAATCAGATAAGAAAAATACTATTTATATACCAAGAGGGCAAGGAGGAATGCACTAAATTATTATGAGTATGTACATCATATATCTATGTCATAGAAGTTTTTTTAAAGCAATAAATTACTTTTGAATTGAGCCTGAAAGGATGGCTAGCATTCTGAACAGAGTTTGAATTTTATTCCATAGGATAAGGGAGACATATTGACATTTTAAAAACATGTTTGTGATCTAATGGTAATTGACATTAAGTTTTGGGAAAGTAGAGGCAACAAAAGCTAGAGGCAGGGAAAGAATTCATAGAATGCATCAAAAGTCTGTCTAAGAGATACTGAGTGGTAGAAACAGACCAGTAGTAGTAGTTTGGAAAGGAAAGAAATAGACAAATTCTAGAAATATGGAGAAGATGGAGTCAACATATATGTTTGATGTGAATAATATAGAAGGTGGACAAGTTGTATACTGCTAGAGTATGGATTTAAGAACAAAATGGAAAGTAGCCCTCTTTCTTTGGAATAGAGTTTGAGGTGATTTAAAGCAAAAAGTCAAATTTTAGAAAACTCGTATCTGTTTTCCAATATGTATGTTCCTGATGAGATTTATGGTAACATTAACAAATGTGATTTTTAAATTATGATATACAGAAATGTGTCAGCATCTGGAGAAGACATGTAACTCAGTGAATCAATATTTTTCACATAAAAATGTTAAAAATTATGCATCGATAAATGATTCATTCAGATTGCAAGAAAGGACTGTAATATAATAGCATGAAAATTTCATTTGACATAATTTTATTTTCATTATGACACCTAACCTTTAAGAACTAGTCCTTGTCAAGTTCTGATGTGAAATCATCAAGAATATCCACAATTATTTAAACTGGCTACTAAATACTCAGTTTTTCCTACAACCTATCTGTGTGAGACTGGGTTTTCTTTATATACTTCAACTAAAAAACATCATTACAGATTTAACACAGAAGGAAGAAATAAGAATTAATTTAGCTGTCTTCTGTTAAGTCAGATATTAAAGAGATTTACAGACACATACAGTAGCATTTTCCTTTTTTAATTTTAGAAAGTAGTTTTTCATAAAATATATTATTTGTTAATATCATGCAATTATATTAATTTTAAATGAATTAATAATTTTATTTTTTCTTGAATTTCTAATATGTATTAATACATATGATCAACATAAACAAAATCTCTTTGATATCCTCAATAATTTTAAGATTGTAAAGGGATCTTTAGACCATATAGTTTGAAATCTGCTACTCCACCCTAAGGCCTGATTTCTTTGAAGATTAGAAATGCCATGGAAATTAAGTAGGAATATTTGTATAAAAAAGAATAATAGATTTTATTTTGTAGCAGTTATTTACTATGCATAAAAACAGCAATGTTAGAACTAAACACTATAGGATCAAAGTTTTTTATCTTTTAGGTTAACCAAGTCTGTTACTCAAGAAATTATTATGCAGTCTTTCAAATTTGTTCTGGTCTTTATTTATTTTGAAGCTTGAAAAAGAAGCAGTGAAGGATGCAGTTTTAAAAGTCGTAGAAGAAGAAAGAAAAAATTTAGAAAAAGCGCATGCTGAAGAAAGGGAATTATGGAAGACAGAACATGCAAAAGATCAAGAAAAAGTATCTCAGGAAATTCAAAAAGCTATACAAGAACAAAGAAAAATAAGTCAGGTTAGTAATATTAACTGTTAGTAAATATTTACTTTTTTCTCATTTTTCTCAAAATGAAGTACCCTTACTCTATCTTTTATCTTACTTAAAACAACCTTAGTAGATATTTATGACTTTTTAATTTTTAATTTTCATTTTGATGTTTATATTTTGAATTAATCATTTTTAATATTTTAATGTGCTTTCATCTTTCTGATATTGAAAACTTAGTAACTGACCATTTTACCCTTTTACTTTATTTTCTAAAAGGTCAAAACAAAATTTATGTTTAGTCATTGCAAATATATTAACCTTTCTGTGTTGTTTTTCCTTTTCTCATACATAGAGACACATACGCACACATGCACACAGACTCAATCAATACAAAATAATATATTTGTGTAGAAAACAATTTGATTCAATTAATTTATAATTCTAATTTGTAAATCTCTATACCTATAGTTGGTAACAATAATTAATAAAACCTCACAAATATTCCCTATAGTCTCATAAAGATACATAATGATCAACAGGCATGACCTACATGCAGAATAACTTTTGATTGTTTATCTGACAATTAAAAACACTACCTTAGTTTGTTTTTCTGTAATTGAATTTGCACAGTTCTATTTTACTTGAATTAGTCTTTTTATATATATATAGGCAGAAGTACTTAAATAAATCTTCCCTTAAGTATCAAAAGCAAAAGAATAACATTCATAGAAGTCTAACATGTTCAAACTGTTAAATATACTACAATTGTTCATTCACATTATAAATGCAGCTAAAATGACTAACCTTTCAGATCAACCCAGATTTTTTTTATGACTCATTAATCTTAATGAAGCCGTAAAAAGCTCAAAGTTTTTAATATCCAAGATAAAAGTTATATTTTTAAAAGATGTCACTTGTTTATTCTCAGGAACACACAGTTACCCATTTATTACAAAAATTAAACAGATCTGTAGGTACCATCTATGTTAAAATAACAGTAGTACAGTAGCAGATCTTTTTTTTTCTTGCGTTTTTTCACTAAAGCAATATTACCTTCTAATTCTTACCGTAACCTATCAATAAATATATATTGAGTACCTATTGCATATAAAATGTTTGTCACTTCAGTTGGTTGGAATTTCATGCCAGTAAGGTCAAGTTCACTGGCTAAGTTCTTATTCGGGAGAGTTTATTTAAATTTGTTTTATGACCCCGAACATTCCTGTAACCTCACATAGATGTGGGCCATTCATCACTTGAATTGGGTAAGAAGGCATGAAAAAAATCAGCACATATTCGTCATCCTAATGGAAAAATATATATTTTAAAGAGCACACTTCTCTGCTGATTTGTCAAGAGTCTACAAGAAACATGCAGTATATGATACACTACTTTGAAATTTGTCTTCTATAGGTTCAGAATATGGTGAAGACAATCTAAACATGTCTTGAATAAATTATATTAATTTCCTTACAAATGTTTGCACGTTTTGCTAGAAAGTCTCTGCCAAGTTAAATTATATATCTCTGTATCATTTGGGTGGATTTCAGGACATTTATTTCTTTGTTTGGAACATTATTCCTTATTTATTTTTCTTGACTCTATATGTTGGTTTCTATGCATTAGAAATAACAGCTACCTCTCACAGTCTTCACTGACTGGCCTTGTACTGGTGAAGACCCACACCAATCAACCTAATCAGAGATTTTGTGGGCCTCTCAAACCTTTATGCTAATCCAAACTGCTGTGTTTGTTGTTGGCACCGCATAGCTGTCTATAGTACATGGTGTTCCAATGCTTGCAGATAGGTGAGACAGAAGCCAGTCTCCCAGGAGCCCCTGGAAAAATTCGAACTTTGGACACGTAGTCCAGCTCTTTCCCTCCCTAGGGAGAGGCTGCAGTCTGAGGTTTTTTGCCATCTTTCTTGGACTGGGCAGGAGAGTAGGCTATAACAACTGTTTGCTTGTTAATTTAAGCCGCTATCTTTATTCTCACAGGCCCCCAGGCATCAGTAGTATGCCAGGTCCTGTTACGGCTCTGAGATAGGTAAGACAGAAGCGAGTAACCTGGGCAGTTTCTAGAAAGGTTGGTTGGACATGTAATCCAACTTTCTTCCCACCAGAGAAGTTGAGAGCTGTGGGTTTCCTTTGATCATATGGCACTGTACTGGGGATAGGGATTGTGGTGAGAGTTAGGTCTTGAGTTTTCCTACCAGTTTCAGTATAGCCGGTTTCATGCTTGCCCAGGGTGAAGGACCCTTTCAGTTTGTCTCTGGATTTCCCACAAAGGGTATTTGTGCATGCGTCGTTGTAAATTGAGTGTTTCCATGGAAGGACAGAGGATCCAGGGTTTTCCTGTTTCACCTCTTGTTGACATCATCTGGTATTTTAATATTTTTCTAAATTCCCAAGGTAAAGGAAAAAGTAAATGAATAATGTATCTGATTATAATCATTCAAAAAAATGAAAATTATGCTAGTTGTAAAATACCAGCTACAAGAAAAATAGGCATGTAGAAAACATGCAGTAAATATCCTGAAGAGTATACTTCCCAGAAGATGCTTTTTAGGACTTAATTGTATTTGTTGTCCAAAATTTTCAAATAAGTTTATAGATATCATTTATTAATTAATCATATTAGTTTCCTAGGAAAAGCCAATTGGAAAAACTAATATATTACTACAGATTGGTTTGTATAAAGTCCCATGAGCTTAATTAATTACCCTAAATTAGTTTCGTTGCAAGACTAGAAGTATAATTTATAAATAGACTTTACCCCTGGGCTACTAGTGATAGGAATCTGAAATACTGCCTCTTCATTCTGTACATACCCTGGAGGATTTTAACTGAGTTTCACATTTATAATTAATGTCCTTGTTACTTCTTTTAGGGAAAATCCCTCAAATAAAGGGCATTACAAAAGCTGACAGATCATTATCTGATAACAATAAGGGAAACAATAATAGTTCCCCATGTTCAAGTTTCATTAAGTTGCCTTTATTCTAAGCAAATATATTAAGTTAGTTTAGCTAAAAAGGTATTTTTATGTTTTTTTTTTTCTTTGTAGCTTTGCCTGCAGAAAATAATAGCAGTAAGATAATAGCAGAACTGGTGGTGGTGGAGATGGCAATAATTAACAACATTGACTATCATTAATTCTAAGTGCTGAGCACTTTTCTAATTTTTTTAGATGTTTTATGTCAATTCCTCACAATGACCTTATGAAGTAGGTACTATTATTATCCCCATTGTTACAGATGGGGAGACTAAAGCTTACAGAGATTATGTAACTTGTTTTAGGCCATGTGACTTTTTAGAGGAGTCAACAGTCAGTATTCAAATTCAGGCAGTTTAACTCCTGAGGCCTTGTATTTTGCCACTACTCTATTCCATCTCCCTGTGTTCTCATCTTAGTATAAAGTACAGATTTATGTCATTTATCATTTAGTGTTTGAAATGATCCTAGGAAACTGATAGATAAGTTCTATAGGCAAAACTTTAAGAAGGTGTTATTTTTATGTATTGTCCATTCTGTAACATTTATGGCGCCTCTGCCATGTTTTGGCACTGTTACACGTTTCTGACACACAACATTAAGCAAGATAGTCAAGGCCCCTGTGCTTTCACAGAGCTTACATTCAAGTTGGAAAAGAGCTATGATAAGCAAATCATGCCGTGTGGTGCTGTGGGCTAGGAAGAAAAAGTTTGGGGTTATATATTTAGCTGATAATGGTTGTAGGGGATTTCTTTAGACAATATAGTTAGGAAAGAAGCCAAACTCAGTAAATTTTCATTTCATATAAGTCAATTTATATGAAATTCTAGGGAAGACAAAAGTGATATGAGAGAAGACACATCAGTAGTTACAATAACTGAGGGCAGGGGAATTTTTTGAGGGCGATGATAATGTTTTATGTCTTGATTGTGATAGCGCTTATATTTGACAAAACATATCAAATTACACACTTAATATTTGTGAAAATTATATGTAAGTAATACCTTAATAGAGCTGATTTTTAAAAAACAAATGACTATCAGAATAACTGACTGGATGGATGGTGATTTTGGATGTAATTTCATTTACTGAGGTGAGAAAAGGTTAAGTTTCATGGGGTTAAAAAATCTAATTTGTGTGTATTAAATGTGTGATGCTTATTCATGAGCCTAGAGGAAATGTTGAGTAGGCAGTTAGAAATATAGAAATGGAATTCAGGGGAGTTGTCAGGCCTGGAGATAGAAATTTTGGATTAATAAGCATATAGTTGTTATTTAAAGCCAAATAAATAAAAAGGAAATAATTTCTAGATAGGGTTCTATGACATTCTTTTATGGATTGTGTCCATCTTCTACCTAGAAAGAATATGGCCACTTTAGATTAACTGTAAATAGTTTCACACGTAACAGTTTTACTTCAGATGAAATAATGAAAGTGTTAAAGTTATTGGTGCTGTCTGTGTCACCCTGTAACCCATGATTGAGTAGCCAGGCATTCATCCAGACTTTCTAGGAAGCTCAGGTCACCACTACGAACAACAGCTTCTGCCACTTTCTGCTGAGCCCCAGCCTAGATGCAGAAGTCAGTGCTCATTCTGTCTTTTAGGTGTTTGGCAGCTAGTTGGGATACATAGACCTGAAGAGCCTCTCTCCAGGGACCTACAAACTGTTTTGAGTATTAACTGAAGGGACTGACTTTTTAAAAGCTTGGAAGCCGTTTTTGAATTCTAAGGTTTAGGTCACTTCACAGCACTCAAATGTTCTTTTAAAGAAAACTAAAAAGCAACCATAATTAATAGCAGTTAATATCTTTCTTTGTCTACTAAGTCACAGTAGAAATTAGGAAATGATCTAGTATGGCAACACAAAAACATTGTGCAACTTAAGCCACTTCAATTATTCCTGAGAAATGAAAAGGGAAAAATCAGCTTCTGCTTTAGAATTTACCTCCAGATTTCCTCTCTGCTAGTACTGGCATTTACTGAGGAGATAAATGTTAAACTATGACAGAAAACCGAGTACCTAAGGATTGTGGTAGATAATTCTCAGAATTTACTTGAGAGATGTTTTCCTTTGGCCTTGATCGTAAGTTAAGACTAAGTCTTAGTGTTGATTGTAAATTGTACTTTTTTTCTGAGATAATAAGAGGAAAATTTATGACCCTGGCTTATTGATTTTCATATTAAATTAATTCTGGGTCACTTAAAAGTCTTTGTTAAGTAAAGGAAAAGACGTTTGTTATTGACACCAAAGTAGGCAAAAAGAGGATAGTCATTAATTTTGCTGTTCTAGCAAAATCCTGTAAAAGAACTCCAGTGCACACAGACACTCAAACTATGTCTGACGTTGGAAGCTCTTCATAATGGTTTATAACCACAGCCACTGTAATTTGGGGTTATGTTTTCCCGAGAAGCCACAGACATTACAATCAGTGGTTAAATTTTCCTTAAGAAATTTAGTACTGCCACCTGACCCTTCTTTTAAAAAAGGAAATAGCATTTCTATTTTAGCTTAGCAGGCTATTTTCACAACCCTGAAATTTTTCTGTGCTGACTTCTTTAGTTTTGATTCATTCATTCATTTTAAATTTTTTATTTACAATACTTTGATAATAATCTAGATGATAATAAAATCATAATGACATTTTAAATTATCAAATGTATCATATCTATAGAGAAATTATACCTTTTCATCTAAGTCCTTTTTTCCTTCTATTATATTTTTTTCAGTTATAGTCATTCAGTGAGATGTCTGTAATACAACATCTGCCAAGTTTTTCAGTCCAGAGAATGAGAATTCATCCTAGATTTTCCCTTTTGTCCTCATTTGCACACCTTTTTTTTTTTTTTTTTTTTTTTTTTTTTTTTAAGATGGAGTCTCACTCTGTCGCCCAGGCTGGATTGCAGGGGTGCTATCTTAGCTCACTGCAACCTCCCCCTCCTGGTTTCAAGCAATTCTTCTGCCTCAGCCTCCTGAATAGCTGCAACTACAGGTGCACACCACCACACCTGGCTAATTTTTGTATTTTTAGTAGAGATGGGGTTTCACCATATTGGCCAGACTCAAATTACTGGTCTCAAACTACTGACCTTGTAATCCACCCACCTCACATCTTTTTAATTATCAGAACCTTTCCATTTTACCTGAAAAATAATCCTTAAACATATACACTTACTTCAAACCTGTTATCTTTGTCTCAATATTCTTATTGCTTACCTTGACCTCTTATGTAGACTTCTTTACCTCCAGTTTTGTGCCTTTTCAACTTGGAGTGAAAAATGGATAT